>NC_000005.10:165458293-165761324 GCF_000001405.40 Homo sapiens | reverse complement strand
AATCTCACCACATCCCGATTTTTTCTTTCACCTCATCACTCTGCCAAAATAAATCTTGTAAAAGTCAGGTCATTCACATAGCTAAATTAAATGAACTATTCTCAGCTCTCGTTTCACTCAAATTCGTTGCTAATATAGGTAGCATTCTGTAATGATAGTCATTCATTTCTTGAAATATC
The DNA here is from genome assembly GCF_000001405.40 of Homo sapiens. NCBI lineage: Eukaryota > Metazoa > Chordata > Mammalia > Primates > Hominidae > Homo > Homo sapiens. The sequence goes on along the minus strand of NC_000005.10, from coordinate 165,761,145 downwards.
TCTTCACTTTACTTTGGGGACTTCTTTGTTTCTCTCTGACCATAAGGGCCATTCTCTTTTCATCTTTTTTAATTGCTTTCTTCCCATTTCCCCACGACTCAGTGTTTCTTTTTCTCTTCTTTCCTAACTACATTTATTTCCTTTCGGTTTTCTAGTCTTATGATTTTTAATGTTTATATATTCACTGCTTCCAAATTCATATCTCCAGCCCAGAGTTCTCCCCAGACCTGATAATCCAATTGCCTATTTACCATCTTCCTTTGGAAGTCTCATCCTAAATCTGTATGTCCATGGAATCAGTTAAGGGCAACACCATCTTTAAGTTGCTCAAATCAGAAATAGTGGCTTCATCCTCAACTCTTCTCCACCTCCACGACCAATATCCATTAGCGTATTTTCTTGGCTGTACCTTTAAAATATGTACTGGATCTAAAACCTTTTTATTTCCGCTATTGTCATGTTAATGTAAGCCGCCATTGTTTCTTTTCTTTTGCAAGGGAGCCTCCTCTGCTGCCCAGGCTGGAGTGCAGTGGCGTAATCTCAGCTCACTACAAGCTCCACCTCCCGGGTTCACGCCATTCTCCTGCCTCAGCCTCCCGAGTAGCTGGGACTGCAGGCGCCCGCCACCACGCCTGGCTAATTGTTTTGTATTTTTAGGAGAGACGGGGTTTCACCATGTTAGCCAGGATGGTCTCAATCTCCTGACCTCGTGATCCGCCCGCCTCGGCCTCCCAAAGTGCTGGGATTACAGGCGTGAGCCGCTGCGCCCGGCCACCGTTGTTTCTCTAGCAGAGAAACAGTAGCCTCCTAACTTGACTCCTTACTGCCATCCTCGTCCACTTGGAATACACACAAAGCAAAGCAGTCAGAATTAGCTTTATAAAGTCATACATTTAATTACATAATCGTTGAGGTAAGAATAAAAGCAAGTTAAAAGAAACTGTAAACTGGAAAAGACATTGGTGAAACAGTACAAGTTATAGCCTATTCTTCCTAACAGAGTAAAGGCTACTGAAGTTGACAAAAAGACCAACGATCTGATTTTTAAAATGAGGAAATGGGAGAAATGGATACTTAACAGGAGAAAAATGAAATGCAAATGTCTAATAATTACATCAAAAGATGCTCAGTGTAATTCCTAAAAAGATAAGTTCAAGTTACATCCTATGTGGTGGCTAGTGAGAGTACAGATGATTTAAGTCTTTTGAGGGGCATCTGGCAGTATTTATCAAAAACACACATATAACCTCTTAAGAGCAGCCTCCACCTTGAGAATGTGTTAACTTGTGAGAACGTAGCTACCTAACATGTATGAAATTAAATAGAAGGGTTCCTTTTCCTTTGTGACACTGTTTATAATGGCAAAAATTAGAAACTGAAGTGGCCAAAAATAGGATAAGGATAATTTAATTATGATATATCCATACAACAGAATAGCATGCAGCTGTATACAAAATGAGAGTGATCTGTTTATTGATATAGAACTCTCTAGAATGTATGGTTTAATAAAAAGAGCCACAGAGAAAAGGAGTATAACAATAGCCAATCACATTGGTGTAAAAAGTGAGGCAGTGGGGAGAGAAATATACTTAGAAATCCTTGTATTTGCCTAAAGATAATCTTACAGGACAGCTAATTAAAAATGGTTTCTTGAAAATGCAGGTAAACCAAGTGAATGGAGACAGGAATGGGAGCAAGGACTTTTAGTGTGAAACTGTTATATATCATCTTTATGGTTAAACCACTTAAGTATATTACCTATTAAAAATAATTTAAATAATATAACATATTATTTCCCTGCATGAAACCTTTCATTAACTTCTTACCTCATTTAGAGAGAAAAAAAAAAAGTCTGGATATTTGTCTACAAGTTTCTGTACCTTCTCATCCTGTCTGCCATCGTTCTTCTCTTGTATTAACCTGCTCAAAACAGACTGACTTCCTACTGCTTCCTGAACACATCAAACACTTCTACATCAGGACTTCTGTTTACTGCTCTATCTCCTTTGAATACATTTGCCCCAGAGATCCTTGGGGTTCCTTCCTTCCTTTCCTTCTGATACCTGTTCAAATGTCATCTTACCTCTGATGCATACCTTGACTACTGTATATAAAGCACTCTCCCATCTTGGGACCTCTACTCCTTTGATGTTACTTTATTATTTATTTAGCAGTTATCACCACTTGGTATCATTTTACTTATTCCTTTTCATCTTCTCTCCCTCTATACAGCAGAATGTAAGCTCTAAGGGAACTTTGTTTCATTCACTGATGGTTTTTCAGTTCCTACAACAGTCCTTTGCACATAGTAGATGTCGAAAGTATTCCTCCAATGAATGAATGTTTGATAAAATGAATTTTAGATAGTTAATCAAGCATAATCCTCTAATTTGTTCTACCAGAATAGTTCACTTGTATGTTCCCGGCAGTATATGAATTCTAACCACATGTATGGTAACCATGGACTTCACAATGTTTGCAAGTGCTAGGAGGAGAGTAAAACATTCTGAACAAAGGATGTTCTTCCCTTTCCTCCCTGTGGCTTAAGCCCAAGAAGCCCCTTTGCCTCTTGGATGGGAACCCTGTGCAATTCACAATTTTAGGAGAGAACTGAGTAAACAGTCTATGAGTAGAAGGCATCTAGATTAGGTTTCAAACCCATTTTTCACCTCTTAAAATACAGTCTAACTCTCAAATGTTGTACAACCATTCTTGAAAACGTAGCATGAATCTATTCAGTCAAACCCAATTTTTTTTTTCCTGGAAATTCACAGTATTTCAACACCACTGCTAAGTAATTCTATCAAGATTACCCACTGTAATCAGTAACAACTAATGCTGATAGGTAAATCTCAAAATTGTGTACATATAATGGGGTTAAGAAAGTTGTACTAAAATATACGTGCTCTGTGTATGTAATTTATCATACATTTAGATAACCTAATCTTTGTTCTATACCTCTTGAGTGATTATGCTGCATGCTGCATGCGAGAGGCAGGTTTTTTCCCCTTCTCCTTAAGGCACCCACTGTTAGATGATATCTTGTTTTTGTGATTTTTGCCTTAGCCTGAGCAGGAGGCAGATAATCCTTTTTTTTTTTTTCCACTTGCCATTCCAAATGAAATAGTGAGAATGCTCCTTAAACCACCTCTTATCTCCAGTTCTATCTGCATAACATTGCCTGGAACTTGCTGCGCCTTCTCTTATTTCATTTCCCTGTCTGCTTTAAGTGCAGGCTCAAACTGTCTTTAGAAATTGCATGTTCCGTGTAAACCCCAGGAGCCGTTTCACATGGGGTTGCCTATAGTTTTCTGACAAACTTGGCTCCTCTGCAGTTCTTCTGAACTTAGAGACCTTGTTCTTTTTTCCCCATTTCTTTTGTTTTTCTTCTTTCAGTCTTTGGTCTTCATTCAGGTTGGCTGGATCTTGTCAGAATTCAGGTTCTTCCGTTCTTGTCTCCCCCTACTGCTATCTACTTCTCATGTTTTCTTTGCTCCCTGATCAACTACATTTTCAAGCATAGCTCAAAACAGCAGAGGCATGATACGGTTGAAGACACACAACCAGCCGGGCGTGGTTGCTCACCTGTAATCCCAGCATTTTGGGAGGCTGAGGCAGGCAGATCACGAGGTCAGGAGACTGAGACCATCCTGGCCAACATGGTGAAACACTGTCTCTACTAAAAATAAAAATACAAAAATTAGCTGGGTGTGGTGGCGCATACCTGTAATCCCAGCTATTAGGGAGGCTGGGGCAGGAGAATCGCTTGAACCAGTGAGTTAGAGGTTGCAGTGAGCCGAGATCTCGCCACAGCACTCCAGCCTGGTGAGACAGTGAGAGACTCCGTCTCAAAAAAAAAAAAAAAAAAAAAAAAAAAAATACAACCTAAGCTACTGGATCCAGGTGAAGACAAATCTGCAATGCCTTTGATTCTTGGAGTACTTCTTTGATTTTTAACTTTAGTCTTTTCTCTTTTTCGCTTTGTCTAAACACCTCTTAGTTTGTGCCTTACACTTTAGGTCTCCATACAAATGTTACCTCCTCAGAGAAGCTTTTACTGACTGTTCTTCTCAAGTTATTTTTTATTACCTTCTTTATTGATTTTCTTTGTGACAACCACGATGCCTAAGCATATGGCTTATCTATTTGACTTCATTATAATTCTCTATCTTCGTCACTAATATGTCACTCCCTGGAAAACTGGGATCTTGTCTTTTTCAACATTTCCTCATGGTCTTCAAGTCTAACTTAAAGAGTAAGCCTTCAGTAAATATTGCATTACTTACAATTTCCTTTTCCTCTTTCTTTCATCCCCACCTCAATCTAGTTATTTGAAAGATTTTGCATGTTGATCTTCCCTAAAGCTTACAAAATAATTTATTTAAATATGGACATTCAATTGTTACTCTTAATTTACAATTTTATGTTTTTCTCCATCAATTTTTAAAATCTACTATGCAGTAAAGTAAAATATTGGTTATTATTCTGCAAATATTTTCTAAACTCATACTGTTTCCTGTGACATGAATGGGGAAAATTTCACTTGTAGTGGTAGTTTATGTGATATTTTGTGCTAAGGTAAATACTAAGATTCATGGTTATAGCTTTTAATATGTCCTTACTTCAGTGAATTTTATCAAATACGATTCGAATTATAGCAAGCTCAACTTAAAATGTATAGTCAAATACAGGAGTTATTTAAAGTAAACCTGCTAACACAGTTAATGTTTCCAATCTCAGTACTATGTTGACTCCTCAATGTTTTGGCATATTATCATTCTATCACCTAAATATTACTAGAAAAATTTAGCAATATACCAGTAAAATATGGAACTCTGCAGCCTCTGTTGTTATTGTAAGGTTGTTCCCATAGCATCTTATAGAAATAGCTGCTAAGAATTTATACTACATTCAAGGACAAGTGATATTTTAATTATATTACATAACCCACACAATTTTAGGAGTTGGATGGCATTTTCATTATATAACTGATTCATAAATTAATTCTATAATTTTTATCATTGGCCCTATTAAACACGTATTAGCATTTTTATTATAATTTTCAGTTTTCAGGGATTTGTAATTACATAAGTTTAGATAGGTTTGGACACTAATTTGTACAGTTAACTAAATTAATATTACTTTTAGTTTAGCTTTCTTGCATTGCTTAATGCTATTTTTAAATTAACTACTTAAAATTGTTTTTTAGAATGATACAAAGTATATTTCTACCTGTACGGCCTTTGATGTATAGCTAAATGTATGTTATTTAATAATGTTGTGAACAGACTATACTTATGGATTCTTTAACATTTTACAATAACACACCCAACTGACATACATATCAGTGTAATAGTTAAACACACATGTTTGATTTTTAGCTTTGCCATTTATTAACTAGGTGATATTGGAAATTTCACTTAAAATCTCTGTACCTCCATTTCCGTACCTCTTCAACATTCTCAAAAAAGTTGTCCTAAAGATTAAATAAGGTGATGTATGAGAGCTCCCAGGCCCAGGGCCTGATATATCATCAGAAATGTCAGCTGTTGTCTTCACTAGTAGTATTAATATGGTTACTATTACTATTGAATTGTAGTCATTATTTCTTTTTAAGCATTTTTTTAGTAAGAGCAAATCTCTCCTTTTCAATTATATATATTGTATAAATATATACACTTATATATACATAAAGCTGGCCATTTGAAGGTTTTTTTTCATGTAATTATTCTCCCTGTTTAAGTACAACAGGCCAAATATGCTTTATAGCTTATTTCTTAATCTAATACAACTTCAACATTTATTGTTTTCCTACTATTTTGAAGGCTCAGAAGTAGTGATTTGAGGGAGTACAATGATGAACAAGCCACAGTTACTTTGTTGAGGGACCATCAAATCTAGTGGAAGAGCTCAAATGTCCTCAAATAACTACCTTAGAAAACAGAACGTGATACATATATATGTACATATATATATGTACATATATATATGTACATATATATATGTACATATATATATGTACATATATATATGTACATATATATATGTACATATATATATACACACACACATACATACATGTGCTTAACTGTGAAGTGCTCGAGACATATAGAGTTGACAAATATTAGGTTAGCCCTTTCTATCTGAAAATAACTGAATCTTGTTATGGATTGAATTATGTCCCTCCGAAGAGATCTGTTTAAGTCCAAGCCTGCAGTGCCTCAGAGTGTGATCTACTTCGGAAATAGAGTCTTTTGAAAGACTCTTACCCTTAACAGAGGTAATTAAGTTAAAATGAGGACATTCAGGTGGACCCTAATCCAATATTTCTAGTTTTATACGACAGGAAAAATTTGGACACAAAGGCAGCATGCACAGAGTGAAAACAATGTGAAGACGTAGGGAAAAGATGGCATGTAACACGAGTGATGCTTCTGTAAGGCAAGGATTGCTGGCAAACACCAGAAGCTGGAAGAGGCAAGAAATGATTATCCTCCATCACCGTTAAAAGAGAGCACGGCCCTGCTCACACCTTGATTTCAGACTTCTAGCCTCCAGGACTGTGAGACAATCAATAGCTATTGTTTTAATCACCCAGTTTTTGGTACTTTGTTATGGGAGCCCTGGGAAATATGCAAGTTCTAAACCCTAACTGATCCTGCAGGAATAGAAAAACACCAAGCACCAGTCAGTAACCTGAAAATTAATAACCACATTCTAACTGTATTTAGATCTATCTAATGTTAAAGCTGAGTAAAGAATTTGATTTGTTGGAGTAAAAAAACTGTACAAGACCTTTTAATATGATTTTTATATATGCCATTTAAAAAATCTACTAGCTATTAATATCTCCGCTAGAAATAAAAATATCTACTGCTTACCTACTTTCATTTCCCTACCCCACCGAGTTTTCATATTCGAGTGCTGTACAGATGGTACACTTTGCAAATTGTCAATTAACCCATAAAATAGCATAAATATTACATTCAAATGGGCAAATGCTTACCTCAACTAACTCAAGTGTGTTGTTAGTACCAAATAAGATAATGAGCATTAAAGTGTTTAGCAACATTTAATAAAGCACTAGGAAAATATATAAGGTACTATGAGTACTGAGCTATTTAACATGTAAAGAATTTTAAAAGCCTTTAAAAATAATTTTAGGTCTATGATAAAATGTTTACTTTAAATATCAACTACATTTTGATAAGATAAATACCAAAATGGTATTTTACTTGAAAAGGAAAATCATTAACTAAGACTTACTTGCATGACTTTAAGCTGATCTATTTTTCACTAATGAAACTTGTTATTACTTAGAGAAAGGATTTGATCTGACATGAAAAAAAAACAAAAGATAAAAACTGTGGAAAGCCTAAAAACTCTTAGAGACAAAAGAATGCAAATATAACTCCAAAATCACTGTAATTCCTAGAGAAAGCTTTTTCTGTGACTTACCTGTGTTTCGAATTAATCACATCTCAAAAACCTCAGGAAAATCAAGAGAAGATATTTAGAAAGGCAAAATCAAGGAATTCTGTTTGTTTCTCTGATAAGCAAGAGTTGGAAGCATGCACTCTGCTTTCTGGATTATTTATTCCAATCTGAATCAATAGGTATAATGTACCTATATTCTCCTCCAGGTTAGACACTTGAGGGGAATCTCTTGTAAAACTTGGCATTCTCTTTATCATTAACTAGGGCAGCCAGAAAGACCTGGAAAAAAAATTGAATAAAAATCTAGTTATCTTGCAGTCAGTGGTAGAGACCTTGAATGCTGGACTCTTGGAACATTGAAATTTATTTGTTCTGCCTACTTCATGTCCTTTCTATGTATCCCTCAACTCCCTGTCTTTATCTTGTCGTGATAGTCTTTCCAACAAATCCAGTGGTGTCCCTAGCTTCTCCTGTGAATAATTCTAAAATCATGCAGTTTAGCCATCACTGATCATTGACTCTACCTTCTACCATTTCGTATATGCTGTTTTTCTTTTTCAAATTCTCTAAGAAAATCTAAAATACTAATCAGCTTTCTTCTGATTATACAGCTCCCTAAGAGCTAATGGCCCCTTCTCACCATTTACTTAGATTCCTGGCCAAAGAGGTGACGTTGACATATTTTTGAAGCCACTTGGTCAATTTCAGACACTAATGTAAAGCATTACTAAAATCATAAGGTAAGTGGTGACAAGAAAGGATCAGTTTGCCTAAAAATATTTTCTTCCAAAACTTGTTTCTTCCTATGTTTATTTCTTTAAAACAGATTCATAATTTAATGGCTAAGATTGGGAAACTTGTAAATTTTCTGTGACTTTTGATGATATATGATGTACATAAATTAGCAGGAGAAAGGAAAAGTAGTACGCTAGAAAACAAAACAAGAAAGGGATTGAAGGCAAAATTTCATTAATAATATATTGCTGACACAGGAAAGAGAAGGGAGTAATTTTGATCTCTGGAAAAGTGTTTAAAGAATTTCTTTCACCCCTACTGTGGGCTGAGTCCCAACCATTCTAAGATCTTGCAACATCTGGCCTGATCTAAGCCATGTGAACACTTAATGTAGTAGGGAAAAACATTATTTGTGTATGAAATTTACATGCCATTTTAATCATTGCATAATGTTGTTTACTTAAATATGCAATTTTTTTTTTCTTTTTTGAGACCTTGGCTTACCACAGACTAAATAGATAGAAGTAGGTGCTAATGTGGTCTTCTCACAGACATATTCCACAACTCCCAAGAAGTAATATGTATTTGATTCTTCAAATACTGTTATACATTGGGTAGCACTCAAACACTCATTGTAGGCCAGGGATGGTGGCTCACACCTGTAACCCCAGCACTCTGGGAGGCTGAAGTGGGCGGTTCACTTGAGATCAGGAGTTTGAAACCAGTACGGTTAACATGGTGAAACCTCGTCTCTACTAAAAATAAAAAAAAAATTAAAAAAATTAAATTAAAAAAAAAAGACGGGGCGCAGTGGCTCATGCCTGTAATCCCAGCACTTTGGGAGGCCAAGGCGGGCGGATCACGAGGTCAGGAGATCGAGATCATCCTGGCTAACACGGTGAAACCCCGTCTGTACTAAAAACACAAAAAATTAGCTGGTCATGGTCTGGGGGCCACCTGTAGTCCCAGGTATTCGGGAGGCTGAGGCAGGAGAATGGCGTGAACCTGGCGGGTGGGGCTTGCAGTGAGCCGAGATCGTGCCACTGCACTCCAGCCTGGGCGACAGATGAGACTCTGTCTCAAAAAAAAAAAAAAAAAAAAAAAAAAATTCCAGGTGTGGATGTACGCACCTGTAATCCCAGCTACTCTGGTGGCTGAGGTAAAAGAATCGCTTGAACCCAGGAGGCATAGGTTGACGTGAGCTGAGATGGTGCCACTGTACTCCAGCCTTAGCAACAAAGTGAGACTCTCAAAAAAAAAAAAAAAAAAACCCAAGAAACAAAAAACCCTCTAATAGTAGTTTGTTAAAGAATAAAAATAGTGGGCCAGGCGAGGTGGCTCACGCCTATAATCCCAGCACTTTGGGAGGCCGAGGCGGGAGGATCGTGAGGTCAGGAGATCGAGACCATCCTGGCAAACACGGTGAAAACTGGTCTCTACTAAAAATACAAAAAATTAGCCGAGCACGGTGGCGGGCACCTGTAGTCCCAGCTACTCTACTCGGGAGGCTGAGGCAGGAGAATGGCATGAACCCTGGAGGCAGAGCTTGCAGTGAGCCGATATCGTGCTACTGCACTCCAGCCTGGGTGACAGAGTGAGACTCTGTCTCAAAAAAAAAAAAAAAAAAAAAAAGGAATAAAAATAGTAACAGCCAGCAACCTAAGAAAAAGTAATTTCACCAAACTTAAGTGTCGTTAGAGAAAAGTAATTGCTAAATTGGCATCATCCACAATTCCTGAACAAAGGAACCCTAGTATTTTGTGTAAATCTCCAAACCATATCTGAGATTAAGGTGCATAACAAATAGTATTTCTCATATTTGCAATGCATTAAAGTTACTGTTTCATGGATTAAGTGAATAATTTACAAGTAATAACCTATTGCATAAAACAACTTGCTAGCCATCGGTCTATGTGCTTGATAAATCATATTTATTAATGCTGTAACCATTCCAGAAAGTGAATATTATTTTCATTATTATCTCTGATTTCATTTATACCAAAATAGGACATTAGCTATCAGCCCAATCAAACTATAGCAACCGCCCTTGTTTTGAAAAAGGAAGAAAAACAAGAACAACTGGTGTCAAGTCTTACCTAAAGTCTCACAGCCAATGGAAACCTTGGTAGCATTTATCTTATCCAGATATTTAGAGACTGTACAAGAAAGCTAAGGGAAAGTGTTTAAACATGGTCGAATATAAAGAGGGACAATATTAGGTATTAAAGTGAGAAAGAATCAGAAAGAGTATAGCAGAACAGGTCAAAAAATGAAAGCTTCCCTGTAAATCATAAATGGACAACAAATAGAGAAAATGGGCTTTTTTCTTTTATAAAATTTAAAGATATAGTTATCTTTTAGGGGAGCTTGCATGAAGCATTTCCACTTCTTGACCTCTCATAGTCCTTTTTATCTCATATAGTCTCTGATTCTATAATCACGACTGCTACAAATAATATTAGTAGAGAGATAAGAAATAGGCAGGGGAAAAGAAGGGAAATCACCTCAAACCGTGATAACAGAAGGTAGAATTAAGTCATTGTTATACATGGCAGCTCTGCCTTTCAAGACATCACTTTTGTAAAGCTCCTAAGAGAAAAGGGGATTTTAAAAAAATGTTTCCTATTAATTAAATTCCATATTGTATCAACCCATCACCCAGTGTATTATGATCATATTACAGGAAACAATTTGTCATTCAAGAACTTGCTAACAATCTCAATAGCGAGGGTCTCTTAGAAACAGATCTCAGGAAGGTGAATACCAACAGGTATGTGTTGCTTGGGAACAAAAGATTTTTTCATTTTCTTCCACTAGTCTGAATAGCCAGTTGATTTATTTATTTGGGAACAAAAGCACAACATTCAATATCTTATGAAAGACACCTACATAAAACCCTTTAAAAATGCATGATTTCTTGGTATCATTTGAAAGATGTGTTCAAATACAAAACTAGTGTATAAAATCAGCTGTTTGATCAATTCATACTAGTGGTTAGCTCTGAAAATTTAATGTAATACTAGGAGGCTGAAAGAAGGGGAAAATGTGCTTAGCAAAAAATCACATGTTTGGTGGTGGGGGCAGGAGAAGCAACCATATGTAAATCCTCAAGGGCAGAAAAAAGAATATGTTATAAAGGGTATGGAAATATGTGACAATGTATCTGAACAAACGATTTGTATACCACATTCACCCAGATAAATAACAGTTGTTATTATTTTACTAATAAGTGATATCCTAATACAGGGAATTCACTGGAATCATTTTGAAGCTTACAAAAGTAGAGATACTGGTCAACTTGTATCTGAGGGTACAACACAGTAACCACATAAAACTAGCAACCCTTTAGTGTTTGTGTCTATGTTATTTTCCACAAATATGTATATAATTGTATTATGTGACTGTGCTGGCTTAGAAAGATACATTACTATATGATAAGACTTTTTATTAACCTAAAATTTCATTTTTTCTTCTGATTTTAAAATAAATTGAAATATTTTTTGTGAGCTATAGGCACTGTGCCTAATGGAGAAGTCAGCTCTGCTTATCTTTACTTACTACAAGTGTGACCTTTGACAACATACCTAACTCTCTAAGCTTTGTCAGCTATAAAACGGGAGAGTAGTAATGGCGCCTGTTTCATGAGGCTTTTGTGAGAACTGAATCACACAACCCATTCAGGAAAGTGAAGGTATACAGGGTGGGGAAGGGATGAGAACTGATGAGGGTAGAGAAAGGTGAGAAGGGAAATTGTTAGACAGGGATTGAGAAACGGGAACAGAGTAGTCTCAGGGGGACTGAAATTTCTAAGCACAGTAAGCGTTGTCTTTTGATGAAATAGGTCTCATCCATTTACATGCTATTGTTTTTCAAACATAATTTCTATTGTGTTAAGTAAAACACAACTTTATTTTAACAAGTCATTGACTTCACACTTTGTCATAGTGCATTTTCTCAAACCTAATTATTCCTAACGTGAGATTTTAAAAAATTGATAGTAAAAGGAGGTAATCATTGATATGAATGGGATAATTTGAAGCATTGCAGAGTCAGAAGTTTGAAAATAAAAAGAACTAAAAGAGAACTAAAAGAGACTAAAAAGAACTAAAAGAGACAATTCCTTAATGAAAGCCTCAACATTTTGCAGCTGATGGAACTAAATCTCAGGGAGGTTGCATGATGTCACAAATTAGGATTATAATCCAAATCTCCTGATTCTTCCTTATGGGGTTTTGCATCACTCCATACCAAAGGTAAGAGAGTTCTGAGATGATGATTTGCAAAATGACAGTCACTGCAGATTTGGGGGCTTTTGGTAGAACAAAACAGGAGCTTTTTATTAATTCAAAAATATTTATTGCACCCCTAATGTTCTTGTTAATGTTCATGCAGTATAGAAAAAGAAAGGCACATTATACCTTCAGGAGGTTCTAGTTTAGACAGCAGGATACACATTCAATACATAATTAAACTGCCATTTGTATGACTGTAACCAAGGGAAGTTCTATCATGGTAAAAAGCACAGTGTGCCAGGTAAGTGGGAAATGGGAACACATAATGTGGTCCAAGCATTCAGGAAATGCTTCCTTGACAAAGACATGAGTCGAATAAAACCTGAAGACTGAGCCCAAGCAAAGAAGGTAGGAGAGGATATTCTAGGTGCATGAAAGTGAGAAGTCACTCAGGTTGTTCCATGAGCAGAAGGAAAGTGTTCTGCTGGGGCCTTGTGAGTGAAGGGGCCCATGGGGAGTGGGAGGAGGCAGGAGATGAACCTGGAGCACAGATGAGGCCCGTTCATTTAAGCAAGTATAGAATATTATAAGGATTATGTGGTTTATTCAAAAAGCGGTGGTCTGCAAATGAGTACCAAACGTGATCTCTAAATAGACCAGATGAAAAACGACAGTAGTTTGAGGTAGCTTGGTAGCTGCAGTGGATATGGAGAGAGATAAGGAATTAAAATATTGTCTAGAGGTAGAATACACAGGATTTGTTTCCTAACTGGAAAAGGAGAGAGTCTGAAGGAGGTATTAAAGATGATTCTAGCTGTCTGATAAGAACAACTTGTGGGTCAGGTTACCTTTTCTTTCTTTCTTTTTTTTTTTTTTGAGATGGAGTCTTCCTCTGTCTCCCAGGCTGGAGTGCAGTGGCGCGATCTCGGCTCACTGCAAACTCCGACTCCTGGGTTCACGCCATTCTCCTGCCTCAGCCTCCCGAGTAGCTGGGACTACAGGCGCCCGCCACCATGCCCAGCTAATTTTTTGTATTTTTAGTAGAGATGGGGTTTTACCACGTTAGCCAGGATGGTCTCGATCTCTTGACCTCGCGATCCAACCACCTCGGCCTCCCAAAGTGCTGGGATTACAGGCGTGAGCCACCGCGCCCGGCCAGGTCAGGTTACCTTTTCTACGACGGTTTATGTGGTTGTAGCAATGAGAATCATGTTTATTTACTTTTATGTGTCTTTCTTCCTTCTAGTTCATCCTACAAAATTAGTTTAATAGGATTAGAAAATTCAAGCAAGCCTAATATAGAATCTAGAAAAAAAGGATATAATCAGGTAGTGTAATAGTTTATCACAACACTGGCTTATATTTCTGGGTATCTCATGTGTCAGGCCCTTTTCTAAGATATTTATATGAACATTATATTTACATTTACTCATTTTAATTATTAATCTATATGAAGTAGATACTACTTTTACTCTTAATTTACAGAAGAGGAACTAAGGCACGTAGAACTCAAGTAATTACAACAGCATGGAAATGACAGAGCGAGATGTGAGGCACCTTCTCTTACCTATCATGCTGGATGGCCTCTTAAAAAATCTCTCTGGTTTAATATTAAATAAAAGGAGGTGGGTGGATCACCTGAGGTCAGGAGTTTGAGACCAGCCTGTCCAACATAGTGAAACCCCATGTCTACTAAAAAAAAAAAAAAAAAAAGAAAAAAAAGAAAAACAAAAACCTAGCTGGGTGTGGTGGCCCACGCCTGTATCCCAGCTGCTTGGTAGGCTGAGGCAGGACAATCACTTGAGAACCTGGGAGGTGGAAGTTGCAGTGAGCCGAGATCGTGCCATTGCACTCCAGCCTGGGTAAAAGAGCGAGACTCTGTCTCAAAAAAAAAAAAAAAAAAAAAAAAAGAAGAGAAAAAAAAAAAAGAAAGTGTAAAGGGGTCTTGGAAACCCTCCCGTGGCTCCAACCCAACATGTCAAGAGGCTGGATAGGAATTTGGGCCTGAAACCCTGGATAACATCAGTGTTAGTGCTTCACTGTTCTCCTGGGAACCAAAAAGCACTGTGCTGGGTCCCTGGATGGGGTTGGAAATGGAGAGAGCTGTATCACCGGTTCAAGTCTTAATAATGAATCTAACCAAGGTGAGTACTTAGAAATATTTTTCAATAACTGATTTATTGTTTAAGAGCATTCAGATGAAACAAGTTTATGACAGAAATTCTTAGACATAGGACCCAGAAGGTACTTGCCTTCCCAGGAGGAAAGAAGATAAATTATTATTATTTGTCAAAATTTTGTGAAATCATTAAACCTGCTAAAGTTTGAAAAGCAGAGACCTATGATCTCCGTCTTCTGTTGGAGATAACATGATCCATTAGCTTGCTTAGAAGAATAGTGATGTCTTATGGTAGTGAACCGTTCAGTTTTATTACCACATGAATTCCACATAATCAGTTCTTAGGATAGCACTTTGCTATAATACATTTCATAGTTCATCGACAAAAATGACCCTTCAACCCAGGTAAATAACAGTATATGACATATATGTGTTATCTAATTCTGAGTCAAGCTTTAGGTACTTAAGGAAGGTAAAATTTTAGTAGGGAATATAACTTACAAGTCAGATTTTTTAAAAGCCGAGTGAAATGTCTGCCTACAGTATCTCACATTGTTCTCACATTTTGTGTAAAAGTTAAAATGAACAGAATGCTGATAGAGGAATGCACCTGTGTTCAGTGGTGAATCATCTCTTGTTAACTGCTTTTAATGCAGTAGCTCAACAATCATCAGGTACAAAGCACACTGTAAATAAACCCTACTTTCAACTTACATTTTTTAGCTTAACTTGGAGATTATGGATAAATGTATCTGACATGGGACAGCATGTTTTAGTGAATGCTGATAAAAATCCTGGTGAGACCTTACTTTTCATAGAAATTTGTCTCTGAAGGACATAACCTTTTCTGTCATGATTGCAACTCCCACTGCAAAACGAGAAAATTAAATCACTTGGGAATGCTAGAAAAGACAGAAAACTTTAAACTAAATGCCACTCATAACACTAAAAAGCAAAGTAAATGACGTGTTGGCTCTGATACAAGAAAACATCTATGACATTATCTATCATTAAGTCGAAAAATCTGTCAGGTATGTTTTCCTTCCAATGATGGTTTTTTAACTAAGTCTGGGATTGAGCTGTTTCAATAATACTTGACGTATACACGAATTTAAACAAACTTCTCAGCTCACCTATATAACTTAGACCAAAAAGAGCTTCAGAGTTCTGGATCCCTTAACTGTTTTCAGGATGACTAGACAATCCTGCTATTACGTTTTACAACATCCTAACCTTCTAACCAACCTCTATTTCACCTGGTCAATTGCCTCCAGTCGACACAGTTAGCTCAGAAGTTTCCTTGATTAGTGGCTGGTTAGCGATGGCCTTTCTAAAGGTAAAAGTTAGTATAAGGGTAGAAGAACAAAACAGATGCTATAGAAAAAAAATACGAAAAAAAAATCATGTTTTCAAGTGCCAATATCATCTTGTGCACACTATATAGAAAAAAAATCATGCTTCAAATTTAAATAGAGCTAAAATTATGTATTAGAATTTTAGCATTACACTGTCTTGCAGATATTGTCCTATAGGAATATAAAACGCATTTTTTCCCTTCATTTATGAAACACCAAAAATTACTTTCATGTGTATTTATGTCTCCTCCGATCATGGGTTCTATTACTAAAATGACATGAAAAAGAGATATGATTCAGATCTATCAGAAAAGCTGATGGCTCAGCCAAATTAATCTATAATCAGACCAAGACAGGGTATGACAAATTTTAGACTTTTGCTTTAAAAACTTTGTTGGAAACACTGCATGTTAACAGGCTAACTTTGAAAAATTTGAAACATTTACACAAAAAGGTACGGGGGTGTATATGTGCACTTTCTTTAAATACCAGATAGCAGATGATGTTTGAGCCCATAGGAAATCCTTGGGTTCTTCTGAGTAATAAGTACCTTATGATATGCCTACTTAAAATGAATCTGCTAGTATATAGTACAAAGTGAAAAGGATTTTGTCTCAAAAATATCTAATTTTTGCTTAGCAAATTTTAGATTGTAATTATAATCAGGCACTCCCCATCTTGAGATTAAAAATACACAAACATTGTTTTCAATGTATAGTTTCTCTGGTAAAAATTTGTGATATCATGAAATGACATCTTTCACTTCGCAATTAACTTTTGCACAGTCTTTATCTAAAAGTATTTCAGGGCTTTGTAAGTTTTCCCAGGGGCTTCTCTTAGCTCTGATATTTAAGTCACACTCCTTTGAAGTACCTAACATTTCACTGTTTGTGTCAATTTTTCTTTAGGAAGATAGCTTTTTCTTTTGGTCACTGTTGTAACTGCCAGATATTCCCATGTTAATCAATGGCTTTGTAAGTTCTTAGAACAGTTCTCCAATGTCACTCTCACCTACTTCATAGAATCTCTGACTTTTCACAAGATTTGCAATGTCACTTTGCAAGGTCATTGCTCTATTTTCGTACAGCACTGACAAATTTCAAAACTAAAATTAGCAAGAGATCTAGAAGTGTTCAGGCAACAAATAGTACTGTTCTATGAGACTATATGATTGAATCGAGATGGATTTTATAAGTTTTCATGTATTTACCAACTTATTCATATTATGATGGATTTTGAGATTAACTCAGGAGCCAGCCAATTTATTTATCAAAGGGCCCAGTAGTAAATATTTCAGGTCTCTGTTGCTACTACTGAACTCAGTCATTGTATCATGAAAGCAGCCATAGACAGTGTGTGAAAGAATGAACATGGCTGTGATCAAATAAAACTTTATTTACACATCCAGATGCTGGGCTTGATTTGGCCCAAAGGCTCTAGTTTTCTGATATCTTGTCTAATTCAATAAACACTACGATTATGAGAATCCCCTCCATAAGAAAATATGTTTCCCAGAAAATAATGGATAAAAGCTTCATTGATAATATCCCCCAAATCTACATACTTGTGAAACTGAATATTATTTGTATGCATTTATGAAAATGATTGCCTTAAAGACTATTAGAAATTTACTTGATTCTTTGATTTCTGTTATTATATTACCTTAAAGTGTATTGAAGTATTTACTTTAACAAAAATCTGAAAATTTATCTTTCTCCTGGGTTTGCAAGTTTTTGACCCTCCCGTTGACATTATTACAGATTAAGAACCCAGGTAACTCAGTCACAATGATATTGATAAGAAAACTGGGATTCATGCCTGTAATCCCAGCACTTTGGGAGGCTGAGCTGGGTGGATCACTTCAGTTCAGGAGTTCAAAACCAGCCTGGGCAACATGGTGAAACTCCGCCTCTACGAAAAAATAAAAAAATGAGCTGGGTAGCACATGCCTGCGGTCTCAGCTACTCAGGAGGTTGAGGTGGGAGGGTCAGCTGAGCCCAGAAGGAGGAGGTTACAGTAAGCGAAGATTGTACCACTGTACTCCAGCCTCCAGCCTGTGTGACAGGTGAATCCCTGTCTCAAAAAACAAAACAAAACAAAAAAAAGGAACTTATTTCCTATTATCAAATATTAATATAATTCAGTAAGAAAATGCTGATTTCTTACATTTTTTCTTTATACAAACTTTAATTTGACAAAAACAGAAACGATTATTTGTTTTAAAGAATGCATAAAACTTATATAGCACTTATAATGTTCTAGGCTATGCTGTAAGAGATAGTAGTATAGATATATATATGTAATTATAGATTATAACTACATGTATCAATCTGTGTATGTATACATTCATATAAACACATATATTTTTGTATAAACTTTTTAATTCTCACAACAGCTTCACAAAGAAAATATTGTTATACATACTTTATAGATGTGAAAACTGAGTCACTGAGCTCAGTGACTGACTTATTTCGAGTCACAGAGCTATTAACTGGCAGGTCTGTAATTGGAACCACGGTTGTCCAGCTTCAGAATCCATGACATTACTACTCTTTTTTACAACTTTGTGGATGAAGCACCCCTTTTCCTTCCTGAACTCTAATTTAATTAAAAATGTTATTTTCAAAGGCAATACTTAAAATTTGCCTAAACTAGATCATACAGTTTTTAAAAGTTCATATGAAAGTCCTTCAATTATATTAAAAGTTAAGATGACACAAATCTTGTTCTGGAAGGGGTCTATTGTTTATATGTCTATCTTCTACACCTGACAATCAGATTCTTTTCAATTTATCCCATTTTCTAGAAGAGTTCCTCACAACAGTTTTTTAAAATGAAAATGACTTGAATAAATCAATAAATCAGTCATCAGAACCAAATGTGAATCTATTATTCCCTTGCACGTGGCTTTATCAGAAAGGTACAAATCGTGGAAACAAGAATAGGTGTAACGTCTTTTTTGAACAAATGGCAAAAAATATTCTAGAGCCAAAATACATTTCAGATCTGTCATCTCTGACTCCTTTCAGTTAAACTGGTAAATTTGCATAACCAAAACAACCCTCTCCTCTGTTTTCCAATTAATAGAGTCTTAATATGTTTAGAAAATATCTGGTTGAATTTACTAAAGCAGCCAATTATAAGCCAGGTGTTTCAATTGTATAAATAAACATGTGGACCACATTAATTACGGCATGTCTTTATCTCAGCTCCAAACCATCCCACTAAAAATGGAAGAATATTGTATATTTCTCCAACTTACATCTAGATTGTGTTTTAGTATCTCATTACATTTTTAAAGGATGCAATCAAGATCTCTAAGGCATGTAGAGCTCCTTGGTAATTATAAATACAAGATGGTATTAAGAATAAACTTTTATTTCCATTCATTTTTTTCTCATTAATTCATTCTTTTAAATTTTGTATATTGCAATGGGATTTTTTTTCTTCCCCTGCTACAGATGTTTGGATTCTCTAATCCCCCGAGGTATCAGAGGCCTGCATATTCCATCTGCAGTGATAAGCATATCTGGTGATTAGAATTTCATACAAAGCAAAATACTAATACATCATTAGGCCTACAAAATATTTAGTCCTCCATATGTTGTTTGTGCTTCTGATTTCTCAAACGTTTTGCTATAAAATACAATTCAGAATAAACAATAGATAAAAGTAAAGAGTATTTATATTTTTAACTTCTTTGTTTTTATTCTATTTCTATGAAGTATACTATTCAGTGCTCAGTATTCGTCACTCCCTTGACATGACTCTGAATATGCGGTTTATGAGGTTTACCAAAGATACTGTTTTAAATAATACATTTGGTATTAAATTTAGCTTAATTTCAAATAGGTAGAAAACTCATTAGAAGTTTCCTGTTTGGGCATTAATTGCCAGTCATATCTCGCACAAAGTAAACTCTGTATTTTCCAAAGTCTGTGCAATGGAGTAAAGATCCTGTTTTTGCTGTAGAGCTTAAATGCAACTTAAGGTTGAAATATATCATTTAAAAATAAATCAATTCCGAAAAACCTACAAATGCTTTATTTCACACAAGACAAAGCAGCCCAAAGGTGAAGCCCAAAATGAGAAGTTTCAACAGAAAAGAGCAAAAGCTAAAAAGAATTTTCTTTTTTCTCAGTATCCCAGTATTTGCTTTCTACCTTGGCAATGGTGCTAAACAAGCAGGAGGAGGAAAACTGCATCAATTGTGTGAAATAGGACTGCAAAAATCAACTCTCGGATTTGGACTATCTGCTAATTAATAGCAGATAATGTGTTTATTTTATTTTTTCACCTTTGACATGAAAGCCATCCACTTTTCTTTTCCACTGGCTTTCTTGGCCTTACATAAATTCGACTCACTCCTTTTCTTTCCTGAGTTCATTTCGTCTAGGATTACTTCAATCTGGAAATAGAACAGTAAATACTAGAGGGACTAAACAAGTAGGTCTCCCCTAGTGAAAAGATGTAAAAGATACAATGTTTCATCCAATGAACCAACCCACAGTCAAAGGGCTGAATCCAGCAGAGCTTGAGACCTGAATATTTTAGTTTGAAAGGTAAACATAAAAATGACCCTGGAGATTAAACAATTTAATATTTTCCTTATTTAATGAAAACTTGGGGCCTCCTGAGTACAAAAATATTAGAAGCATATTTTCCATAAAACCAAATTAACCAAAAATGGGAAAGACCTTTCAGGTCAGTCAGACCATCCTCTGGAGATCATAGAGGGCAGTTGCCTAGAATAAATATGCCAGTGTTTTGTTCCCTCAAGTGTTTGAGTTCCCTAGCGTTAGGCCAGCTTCTGACCTTTTATTTACAGTGTTATTTATTATTCATATTTTATTAAATATTTAAAATGCCACCTATTGTATTTGATGACTATTATGAGAAGAAAAGGTCCCTGTTCTTCAGATTCAGTTAGTTAATATCCTGGACTTGGCATTAATTATCTGGCACTTCCTTTCAAAAGCTCCTGACGCTTCATGCTTGTACTTTTACAGGTGGCAATTGCAAACCTTTTTGGCAGAAACTAAACATGGCCATGAAGATAGCAAGACTCAGGAATTAGTTCACCTTAGACCACTCCATTCATACACGTATCCATCATTTCTTTTACTTCTTAAGGACTACCACTGATAACTGTTATTAAAAATGACATACAACAGGTGGCAAGGACAACGTTTGTTTAAGAAAAAAAGTCTAAATTTGGTATGGCTTTTTCCAGGGGTAGGGGGGTTGGGAGGCAGTTGGGGACTTCCATGGCCATTGCTTATATGGAAGTTATTAAACCAGTGGAGGAGTTCTTCCCCCTCCTCCTTCACCCAATCTCCCTCTCTTTCCAATGGGATAGGAGTTAGAAAGTGAGTGAAAGAAGAATATTATTCTGATTATTTAACTGGTTACCTCCTAAAGCCTAGTGTCCAGTTCTTCCAAGGAAGCTCTATATTCTCATATGAAGAGAAATTAGGAAAATCTCCAAACTTTATTTTTAGGTAATTTAATCCAATGGCTGTGCATACAAATTTATGAAAACGTGAATTTAGGGAAACATATACGTTTACATAAATATGTTTCCCTAAACATTGTTTCCTAAAAAAAGGAAACCAAAGACAAACCAACAAGAAAACAAAGCACTTTTCTTTGATGTCAGCAATCAGTGCATTCTAGCCGTAGAGAAACAGCCTGGAAGACTTCTGTGATGTGGCTGAGCTGCTCCTATTCAGGCAGAAGCAGTCGAGAAGCAAGGCTGATAACTGCTCAGATACGGGAACTTGGCATAGATAGAAACCTGTTTGTTTGACTATTATGAAATGCACACTTAAATGCATTTAAATGTATCCTGAAATCCACTATTTAACTACTTCCATAAAATTTTATTTAAAATGATAGCCTCACCCCAGTTAAAGACTGTGAGAGAAAGGGCCTAGGCGAGGGAATAACATTGCCATCATAGCAGATGCTGTCACCAGAGGGAGGAGCAAGCTCACAGAGGCCATTGAGAGCAGGATTGATGATGGGTAGGAGAGCGTGAAGAATGGGATAAAATAGTCAGCTCGCCCATGTGAATTTTAGAAAGACTTAGACAAAGAATAATCTCCCATTCCATCCAACCAACCTCCTCAGGAAAAAAAAAAAAAAGAAAAAAAAGAGAGAGTTCAAAGTCAGTCCATCATGATTTGGATTATGCTCTTTGTGCTGCTCTGATTGCTCATTTTTATCCCTCAAATCCTTTTCTACATGCCTTCCCAGATTTAAGTTTCATTTATTTTCCCTCTTATTTTCTTCCTCACTCCACATCTCTCAACAACCTCAAAGGATCCTGACATCAATTTTGATTTCTTAACATCTATTTTCTTTTGAATCAGAAAAGAAATCAGACTTCCTAGGATTATATTTTAGATCTATCCGTTATTTGTGTGACCTTGAGAAAACGAACATATCAGAAACTCAGATTCCTAATATATAATATAAAAATAAAAATTAGGACGTACATAGATGTCTTTGATGAGAAAATGAGGTTATTTGGGTAAAGCACTTGGCAGAATGCCTGGCATACAGTATATCGATATTAGCTGTAATTATTATTAATTATAATTAGTCAGATAACTCTAAATATGTATCTCCAACCATGGTATTTATACTCAATCCCAGTCTTTATTTCCAGCTCTTTGCTGATTATGTCTTACTATCACTGCATATTCAACATTTCTTAAACTAAACTCATCCTGTTTTTAACTTTTAAAACTAAGCTGCTTATGCTAAGATCTCATTTTCTTTATGTATCAACTTAGTTATTAAATTATCTACCTACTACTGATATGTCTTGAACATCCCTTTGCTCCTTTTAATTCCCAAATTCACCCTCAAGTGGGAATACTCAACCTCAGCCTCAAGTATTGCAATTATCTCCTAACTTTTCTTTCCTTTCCTAATAACTACCAACTCTAATCACTTGGAACTCTGGAGATGAATCAATATTCCAAAATCACAGATTATAATCAATAGACCCTCCAAGTTTACAGTGGTCCTATAATATAAGCTCTTTACAAATTTAGACCCAATCTTCATTTCCAACTCTTGCTACTCTTACACAAAACTTTAAGCTCTAATGAAATGTATTTTGTATCTCTTCTCTGATCATTCCACACATTTCTCTTATTCTCTTTCTGAAATATATTCATCATATTTCTGTGTAAAATAACCCATGTCCTTAAACAGCTATCACAATAAAACATCACATATAAAACTTTTCTTGATAATTATATTGCTTTGCAAGACATTATAGCGTTTAGTTTATGTATTTTTTCTGCCACTTCATCATGACATGAGAAATTCCTATGTGTTTATGTCTCTTATTACCTCTTCTCTTAGTCTCTACTATGTTTAAGGATTCTTTGGGAAATTTTATAGGCACAACTGAGCCTTATGTTTACTTTGTACCCTGAACAATGTGCCTGGTTGACACACAGATTTATGATTAATTTAGTGACACATGGTCATTTTGAAATATGTTATAAAAATGATTTTTCATATCACCAACTTGAAGTTATTACTGAGTGAATAGAAAATATTTACTAATGAATTTCATTAAGGATAAAGCTCCAGGTAGCAATGTAGCCAGAAACTTATTAATTTGTATTTATTGAACAAAGGATTATTTAGGTCAAAAGGAAATTCATTTGTTTTTAACAAGACAGAATACCTGAAAAATACAAATACATACACTCACACTGTGCTTATAGTTTAAACATTAAAACCCAATAGTAGGAGCCAACACCAGACTTCATGCTGCCCTAAGACAAGTAATACCTGTATCCCCCACATCCCAGGAACTTTATCAACATCGCCACACTTCCACTCGGGGCTGTAGCATTGCAACACCAGCTATACCCAGCATTTGATCATGTATCCAGTACCTGAGTCCAAGCAACACTCTACTCCCCAAAGTACAAGCAGTCCAACACATCACGGAGGCTGCCCACAGGACATAGGGAGCAGAATATTATGCTACCCAGAGCCTGAGAGTCACCTGCCTAGGACCATCATGGATAGTGACCCTGATTCCTTCAGCAATGGGGCTACCATGCCCCCATGTGTGCCACCCAAGGGCCCAAGAACTGGTCTGCTAACCAGTTGACATGAACATGCACCATCTGGGAATCTACAAACCTAAGGACCAGCCTGCCTAGCCTGCCACCACTGACACCCAAGTACCCAGCCTGGTGGCCCAAAGACCAGTCCACCCAGCTCAGAAAGCCCACCACGACTGCTGTTGTCTATGAACACTGACTGGGGGTCTAAGAACCAGCCTTACTGGTCAGCCTTTACCACTGCCACCACCCATGCACACCATCCAGGGACCCAAGAAATGACTCCCCTGGAGCCTGCTGCTGCTACAGCTGTTGCTTATATATATACCTAGAGACCTGAGTAATGGCTTACCCAGTGGCTCAGTCACCAGCAAAGACTAAGCCACAGCCTCCACAATCACAGCCTAAGCTACTGGGGAACTCATAGCACTGACATTCATTCCAGCCAAAGAAATCATCTGTACATTATACTATGGTGTAATTTCTAGTCACAAAGTACCCTACCCAAGGTACCCTACCCAACTGACTTTATAGACACATCTACAGAAAAAAAGTCTATTACACCAGATGCAGAGATATCAAAATAATGATGGAAGAAATATTAAAGATCAAGGAAACATGAAATTTCCAAAGGAAAGTGATAATTTTCTAGTAACAAACCCCAAAGAAAAAGAAATGCATACAAAGCCTGAAAAGGAATTGAAAATAATGATCTTATTAAAACTCAGAGCAATACAAGAGAACACAGGTAAACAATACAAAGAAATTAGAAAACCAATTTGTAATGTGAATGAGAAATTCAACAGTTAGATAAAAAAAGGAACTAAACAGAAATCTTGGAAATGAAGAACTCAATTAATAAAATAAAAATTCAATTGAGAATGAAATAAAAACACAGATTAAATCAAGCGGAGGAATGTCTAAACTGAAGAGATATCTTTGGAATTAACCCAGTCAGACAAAAAGAATAAAGAAAATTTTAAAAATAAAGAAAGCCTATATGACATATGAGACACTATCAAGCACTTTGGGAGTTCTAGAAGAAGAGATGCGAAAAGGCATAGAAAGTCCATTTAATAAAATAATAGCCAAAAACTTTCCACGTCTTGTAAGAGATATAAACACCCAGATACAAGAAACTGAAAGATCCCCAAATTCAATACAAACGTCCTTCCTGTGGAACTTTATAGTCAAACTGTCACAAATTGAAGACAAAGAGAAAATTCAAAAAACAGCAAGAGAAAAGCATATAGTCATATATAAGGGAATTCCATCAGACTATGAGCAGATTTCTCACCAGATACATTGCAGGCTAAAAGAGAATGGGTTGATATATTTAAATAACTGAAAGTAAAGAAAAATTGCTAGTGAAGAACACTGTAACCTAGCAGAGCTATCCTTCAGGAATATAGGAAAAATAAGGTCCCAAACAAGCCAAAACTGAGGGATAGATAAACACTAGATCAATTCTACAAGAAATGCTTAAGAGAATCCTACATCTGCAGGCAAAAAATATACTTATCATCATAAAAACACACAACAGTATGATACTCATTGGTAGCAGGTACGTAAATGAGAAAAAGAAAGGAATTAAGCAACTTCATTGCAGAAAACCACCAAACCACAAAGATAAACAACAAGAGAATGAAACAAAGAAGATGAACAAAACAAACAGAAACCAGTTAGCAAAATGACAGGAGTCTGTTTTTACCTATCAATAACAACTTTGAATGTAAATTGTTTTAATTCACTAATGAAAAAGTATAGACTAGGCACTTGAGCCTAGCAGTTCAAGACCACCAGCCTGTGCAACATACCAAGACTTTGCCTCCACACACACACACACACAAAGTTAGCCATGCATGGTTGCACACACCTGTAGTCCTAGCTGCTCAGAGTTTTGAGGTAGGAGGAATGCTTAAGCCCAGGACTTGGAAGTTGCAATGAATTATGATTGCACTACTGCACTCCAACCTGGGTGGCAGAGTAAGACTCTGCCCATAACAACAACAACAATTATAGCCTGGCTTAACGAATTAAAACAACAACAACAACAAAGAGAAAAAACTACATACTGCCTACAAGACGCTCACTCGCACTTTACCTGTAAAGGCACACATGGACTAAAAATGAAAGGATGGAAAATGATATTTCAGGCAAACAGAAACCAAAAGCAGGAAGGAATAGTTATACTTATATCAGACAAAATTGACTGTAAGTGAAAAAACTAAAAATAAAAAGATACAAAGAAAGTCACTACATAATAAAGACATCCATTTAGCAAGAGGATATAACAATTGTAAATATATATGCAACCAACATTTGAGAGACCACATATACAAATCAAATATTGTTAGAGCTAAAGAAAGGCCCCAACACAATAATAGTTGGGGACTTCAACAACCCATTTTCAGCATTGGACAGGTCATCTATACAGAAATCAACAAAGAAACATCAGATATCAACTGCACTATATACCTAATGGACCTAAGATATATTTAGAAAACGTTTTAATCAATAGCTGCAGAATACAGATTCTTCTCATAAGCACATGAAACATTTTCCAGGAAAAACCATATGTTAGGCCAAAAAACACATCTCAACATTAACAAGTCAAAATCATATCAAGTATCTTCTCAGACCAAAAAGGAATAAAACTAGAAATCTTCCTTGCCTTGAGTTGGCAGTGGTTTGCATTTACACCTGTAAATGTATTCATCCTTTTAATTTATGTAAGGTTTTTTTTTTTGTACACAATGGTTTTCTATTGTTAGTGAGAATATTCGGCCCTAGCAACATGTCATTGTGTAAGGAAAAATAAAAGTGCTGCCATAAAACAAACAAATAAAAACTTGAAATCAATAACAAAAGAAATTCTGGAAATTATACAAATACATAGAAATTAAAATCACATCCTTCCGCATGGCCATTGGATCAATGAAGAAATTTAAAAAGTAAATTAAAAAAATTATTGAAACAAATGAAACAGAGACACAACATACCAAAACCCATGGGATACAGCAAAAGCAGTGCTAAGCAGGAGGTTTATAGAAATAAACACATGAAATAAATAGAAATAATTCAAATAAGCAATCTAATGATGAACCTTAAGACGTTAGAAAATCACGAATAAATCAAATCCAAATTAGTAGAAAAAATAATAGAGAATAAGTATAACTAAAGAAAACAGAGATAAAAAAATTGAAATGAATAGAAAAAGTTGGTTTCTTAAAAAGGTACACAAAATTAAACTGTTAGCTAGACTATGACAAAAGAGAGACAACCCAAATAATATAACAAAAGAAAAAGGAGACATTACAACTGATACCACAGAAATACAAACAATTGTTAGACACTATTATGAGCAATTATATGCTAATAAATTAGAGAATCCAGAGGAAATGGGTAATTTCCTGGACACATAACCCCTACCAAGACTGAATCAGGAAGAAATAGAAAACCTAAATAAACCAATAATGAATAATAAGATTGAAACTGCAATAAAAAAAATCTCCCAAAAAAGAAAACCCCAGGACGAAACGGCTTTACTGTTAAATTCTATCAAACTTTTAAATACTAATTTTTCTCAAACTATTCCAAAAAATATACAAGAAGGGATATCTCCCTGATTCATTTTATGAGACCAGTATTACTGATACCAAAACCAGATAGACACAACAACAACAAAAAAAACTAAAGACCAATATTTCTAACGAACATATCTGGACAAATTATTCTCAACAGAATACTATCAAACTGAATCCAATACCATATCAAAAAAAAATACACCATGATCAAATGGGATTTAGCACAGAAATACAAGGATGCCTCACAATAAGTAAATGAATAAATGTTATATGTCACATCAACAGAATGAATAACCATATAATAATCTCAACAAATGTAGAAAAAATTAATAAAATTTAACATCACTTCATATTAAATCCTCTCAACAAATTAGGCATACATGAACATACCTCAACACCCTAAAGGTCATATATAAAATACCCAAGCCAACATCATATTGAATGAGAAACAGGTAAAAGCTTTTCCTCTAACAACTGGAACAACAGAAGAGTGCCCACTTTCACCACTTTAATTCGACATAGTGTTGCAAGTTCTAGCCAGAGCAATTAGGCAAGAGAAAGAAACAAAGGGCATCCAAATTGAAGACCAGAAAGTCAAATTTCCCTCTTTAACAATGACATAATCTTATATGTAGAAACACTAAATGAAACTACCAAAAAACTCTTAGAAGTGATAAACACATTTGGTAAAGTTGCAGGATACAAAATCAACAATTAAAAAACTCTGCATTTCTCTACACTAATAAATCAGCTGGAAAATAAATCAAAAAAGGAATCCCATTTACAATAGCTACAAAAATACATATCTAGAAATAAATTTAATTAAGAAGGTGAAGGATCTCTAAAAGGCAAACTATAAACCACTGATGAAAGAAATTGAGGACACCAAAAATCTGGAACAATATTCATGCTCATGAATTGTTAGAATAGTGTTAAAACATTCTACCCAAAGCAATGTACAGATTCAATGAAATTTCTATTAACATACCAATGACATTCTTCACAGAAATAGAAAAACAATCCTAAAATTCAAATAGAACCAAAAATGACCCTGAATAGCCAAAGTAATATTGAACATTACAACAACAGAATAGTTGGAGGCATCATACCACTTAATTTCAAAATACACTACAAAGCTATAATAAATAAAACAACAGGGTATTGGTATAAAAATGGACACACGAAAACAGACAATGTAACAGAATAGAGAACTCAGAAATAAATACACTCTGTATCCCATAAATATGTACAAATATTTTATGTCATTTGAAAATAAAAGAAAAAATATAACCAGTCATATTTCATAGAATTTCTGATTCTGGAATGGCCCAACAATCTCCTTCTAGATCTCACTCTCCCACAGGTATCAGTGATAAAATTGGGAATAATACAGAAACATCAATGAACCAAAAGCCTTGCAAAATGAAAAGGATAATTCTAGAGAAGAGTTGGCAGTTTGAAAAATGGATCATCATAGGTGAGTAACCATTTTTACAGATTTAAGTCTAAGGGCAGGTCACATCCAATCTCATGCAAGGGCGACAGAAATGCCAAAAGAAAACATACAGACTTTCTGGATGCAAAGATCAATAAAAGTGTTCTGTGGCAACCATAGTAAATAAAAGGAAATCCTAGGATGGAGATCCAGAGAGAAGAGAATCACATTTTGTGTATAAACTCTTCAAAAATGTACAGCTGACCACTGGATAATGCATGCATGGGACTGGCTCAGAGGATTCTCAAATCAGCCTACCTAAGAACAAATCAGCTGAACTACAATTTGACTTGCTCTCCTTAAGACAATTTGCAGTTTATGTCTAAGTAAGTTAATTGCCTGCTAAAACCAAACAACAAAATTTGACATTTTCCAGAGAAATATATCTGAATGAAGAATCTTCACAAAATGCAATCAGCATATCTAAGGTATATTCTAAAAGTATGTGACATGTAAAGTACCAGGAAAATGTTCCCAATTCTCAAGCAAAAGACAGTCACTGAGACCAACATTGATACAACCCAGCTAATAGAATCATAACTACATTCAAAATGTAAAAGGGTAATATGTTTATAATAAAATATTTAAAGTTTTCAGAGAAATAAAACACTGCCAAAAATAAATAAAAATTCTAAAAAACAAATCTAAAAATTATGGGGTATGCTTAATAGCATTGCATTAACAATAGAGAAAAAGTGAATAAATGTGTAGATAAAAAGTATTCAATTTAAAGACTAGAGGCTAGGCACAGTTGCTCATGCCTGTAATCCCACCACTTTGGGAGGCTGAGGCTGGTGGAATACCTGAGGTCAAGAGTTTGAGACCAGCCTGACCAACATGGTGAAACCCCATCTCTACTAAAAATACAAAAACTTAGCCAGGCGTGGTGGCAGACGCCTGTAATCCCAGCTACTCGGGAGGCTGAGGCAAGACAGTCGCTTGAACCCGGGAGGTGGACGTTGCAATGAGCAGAGATTGTGCCACTGCACTCCATCCTGGGCAACAGAGCGAGATTCATCTCAAAATAAATAAATAAATAAATAAACAAACAAACAAATAAATAAATAAAAATAAAGACTAGAAAAAACTATTGGATAATAAAGTGAATGTCCCTCAGAGACTTGTGGGCCATTAAACAGTCTAAATTTTGTGTAATTAGAATCTCAGAAGAATAGAACAAAGTAGAAAAATATTTTGGTGAAAGTTATAAATTTACAGATAATATCAGATAATAAAGGCTACTGAATTCCAAGCAGGAAAAAAAGCAAATCAGAAATATGAGAAATTCCTAAACATATTATAACCAAACTGCCAAAAAGCAAAGATAAATCTTAGAAGCAGCCAAATGAAAACACACATCTTATACAAGAACAATTACACTTGGCCCTTGCATAACCCATGAAGCCAGGAGCGCTGACCATCCTCCCAGTCCCCACAGTCAAATGCGTATAACTTTTGATTTCTCAAATATATTAACTAATAGCCTATTGTTGACTGATAACATGGTCAATTAACAAATATCTTGTGTATTATTTGTATTGTAAAATGTATTCTCACAATAAAGTAAGCTAGAGAAAGAATGTTATTGAGATAATCACAAGGAAGATGAAATGTATTTACTATTAAGTGCTAGTGGGTTATAATCAAGTTATGCATTCTTGTCATCTTCATGTTGAGTAGGCTGAGGAGACAGAAGAGGAAGGGTTGGTCCTGCCGTTTCAGGGATGGGAGAGGCAGAAGAAAATCCACGTATAAGTGGACGTGCACAGTTCAAATCCATGTTGTTCAAGTGTCAACTGTTTTTCAATTTTTTCTAACTTCTCATTAGAAATGATAGGTATCACAACTGAAACAACATTCACGTGCTGATAGATAAAAAAAAATATGTCAACCCAGATGTCTCTACTTAGTGAAAATATATTTCAAGAATAATAAAGGGCAGGCACAATGGCTCACATGTGTAATACCAGCACTTTGGGAGGCCGAGGCGAGTGGATCACTTGAGGTCAGGAGTTTGAGACCAGCCTGGTCAACATGGTAAAACCCCATCTCTACTAAAAATACAAAAACCAGCCAGGACTGGTGGTGGGCATCTGTAGTCCCAACTACTCAGGAGTCTGAGGCAGGGACAATTGCTTGAACCCGGGAGGTGGAGGTGCAGTGAGCCAAAATCACACCACTGCACTGTAGACTGGGCGACAGAGCAAGACTCCATCTCAAAAAGAAAAACAAAGGAAAATAATAGAGAAATAAACTAAGAAAAAAAACCAGATTTCATTGCCAGCAGACATGAAATATAAAAAAGGCTAATGAAATTTTTCAGGCTAACAGGAGTTACAAACAGACAGAAATATAAATACATGTATCTTCAAGGAGAAATGAATCAGCAATGCCCAGACATTACCATATGTATTCTTTTTAGTCTGTAGAGATTAAATAAGAAGCCCAAATAATGATTTTACAAGACTTGTGTAATATTTCATATTTTTCTTGGCTCCACGTGTTTATATACCATATAGGAATTTAGATTCTCCTCAAGCACTTGGACACTGAAAAGTGAAATTCAATCTAGACACTTGAAAATCTGCTAAGTCAGAAAAATTCTAGAGGTGCTATCTGAATAGGTGTTACAGAGTAACTGATTCTGGAATGGACATCAAAGGCTTTCATGTTCACTCTGCACTGGGGAGAAGTCTTTCCTAATAGGAAACAAATATGTGTTCACTGCCTGATGTTGACATGCTATAGGTAATTAGATTTTGCATTGTACACAATTTTAAATTGGAGCAAGGTGATCATATGTGCATATATATTCATGTATATATGTAAATGTATGCTTTATATATATATGTGTATGTGTATATCTATTTTATATATAAGCCTATAGTCTCAGTATGCTTTGTTGGACTATATTAGGCTATATTACTAAAAGTGTTATTAAAAATTTGGTTTTGGGACTACACAATTGAATATTCTAAAATATTGTCCATCAGTAGCCCAATAATGTGACTTGGTTCAAGATGTGCCTTATTTCATTTTGTATCCATAAAAATCTTGTAAATTGTGCTGCCGGGATACAATTTATTATTGTGATTATTTTATTTTTATTTCTTTTAAAGATTTCAAAAAGATTATTGGGCTAACAGTAATACTACCTCTAGTTAGGAGTGACTGGTGATAGGCTCCTCGAATATATTATTACTACATTTGTGTTACGATTTATAATGAGAAAAATAAATAGCAAAAGCATATGATTATTTCCGTAATTTAACTTACATTTTCCAAAACTGGTAATAACTAGCGTAATTTAGATCTCATAAAAGAAACAGAGATGCTCTACTGAATCTAAAATCAAAGCCCATGAAAACCTTTTATACACAATGTAAACAGACATGTTTAATATCAGCATCTGCCAATCTAATCTGATAATTTTGCTCATGTTGTATTTTTTTGCCCATTTGGCATGTTTCTATGCAGCAATTTATACACAACACTGTATCAGCATATATGGGGGTATACAACCAGCTGTGTCCTATTATGTAATTTACACACAAAAAAGTTTGACCAAAAAAATTTACTTTCTAATGAAATACGTAGGGAACATTTTCAGATATGGAACCTGTTGACCTATTTTCCAGATGAGCCCCCAAGGGCATATGCTGTGCCTAGCCCTTTGCCTACAATATCACTCCTCTCAAACAGATTTGTATGTCTACTCCAAGGCAGAATTTGTACCCTTGCTTCACAAATGAGCCTACCACTTTTGAAGTCCACCCCTTGAAAAGATAGGAAAGAGCTACATGCACTTTACTCTCCAAAAAGGGGTTGTTTGTGGCATTTTTTTCAATCGGAAAGTAGTGATTAGTAGTAAACAGAGTAAACAGCGGTGGTGAGTAACAATGTACAATCAGAAGCATGCATGAGATGTGCAGCTGCCAGTAGTTAACATCGTTTCTGTTCACTGTTTTCCAAAGCACTGCTTATATTATCAAGAAAAAAAAAATTGGGAAATAAAATTGTACCCAATGAATATGGGTCATAGTCCTATCAGGGCTCCTCTTCCCATCCTCCACCTCCAATTAATTTTTGCAGATGTTTATTTGGTGATTTTTTATTTTTATTTTTTGAGACGGAGTCTCACTCTGTCACCCAGACTGGAGCACAGTGGCGCGATCTTGGCTCACTGCAAGCTCCGCCTGTCAGGTTCACGCCATTCTCCTGCCTCAGCCTCCCGAGTAGCTGGGACTACAGGCGCCCGCCACCATGCCAGGCTTTTTATTTTTTATTTTTTATTTTTATTTTTATTTTTTGGTATATTTAGTAGAGACTGGGTTTCACCGTGTTAGCCAGGATAGTCTCGATCTCCTGACCTTGTGATCCACCTGCCTCGGCCTCCCAAAGTGCTGGGATTACAGGCGTGAGCCACCACGCCTGGACTACTTGGTGATCTTTTTAAAGTAAAAATCGTTTGATTGGCTCTCAGTGAGCCAGGTACAATAGACAGTAAACATCCCGTGCACACCTCTTAGATTTTTGCAGTCCATTGTCTTTGAATGTTTCAGACCCATCGGCAAGACTGTCTCTTCTGTAAGACAGCCTCAAAAAGGTTCATTTTTCTTATGACATTTAACTCTGGTTTTGTCTAATTCTCTTTATTTTTGTTCAAGGCTCAATCACTTTTGGCATTTTGTTAGTTCATGACAGTCTAATGAGATCATGGGATTTCATCCTCTGTAAATGTTGTATGAATCTGAATAGCCTGAGGTTAGTAAAAATATTTTGAAAAAGCCCCAAGGGGGTTTTGATACACTGTCTATCCATGTCGAATCACAGACTTCAGTGAGAATGCGCTGCTCTAATGGACTTCTCATTTCTGGTTCCTACAGCAGTGATTTGTCCTAGAGAGTTCACGTGGTGGCTTCCCTCTGCAAGTTAACTTCCCACCTAGTGTGATCACGAGACAATGATGATCATGATGATGTAGCATTTTGGCTCATGGTTGTATACCCTATGGTATATTAATATGCTGGCATTCTGAGGATTGCCTCTTTCATGTCTGCCATTTGGTTAGTGCGTCCCTGTCTTCAACTCTCAGTTTCAGAGAAGAGGGCCAGATCTTGGAGTATAACAATGTTGGCAAGTAGCCTCTGAGCTGTTGTCCAGTATTGCTTAAGCTCGTCTGATTTGAAACAATCACCATTTCATCTTAATATTAATAAGCGAACTCTCAACTGTCTTTTCTATGAAAACCATCAAATGCCTAAGGCATTTATCCTTAGATCATGGGGCAGAGGATACACTAATCAGATTTGTGCAAAAGGCATTTTTAGCAGCTCTTTTCAATTATCTAGCTCATAGTATTCCCTGCCTTCTCTGGATAATAACCAGAATATCACCACCACCACCACATATTTGTATCATTAAAATAGAAGTTAACATTTTGGGCTATTCACTATGTTCCAGGCACTCTGTATGCTAAGCACTCTGCATTATCTTAATTTCCACAAAACTCTAAGGCAGTTCCTATCATTTTTTCCACTTTATAAATTAGGAAACTGAGAGAAAGGTTAAGCAACTTGCAGGAAGTAATAGAGTGAGGCCTGTCTAACTAGGACTGCTTGCACTTACCTCTATCACAGCACATTTGGCTGTGCTGCTTCGGAAGGCTGATATTACTAAGCAAACACAAACACGGGTTAACTCTCTACCATTTATAAGGAGGCTTGGAGACTATGTGTTGGTTTAGAAGGAGCATCTTAAAGGGAAGGAGTGTTTGCTATTGCTGGAAGACCAGGGAAGTCATGAGTTTTAGATAGAGTTTCCAGTGACCTTTCATGCCAGACTATATTACGCTGCTGCCTGATTTACCCACATATAATATCAGCCATATGTGGTAGTTTTAGTGTAGGGTATTAAAATCTCATTTCATCAACCACAACAGAAAAATAACAACTCTTCTAATAGCCACTATCACCGAGCACCTACTCTGTATCAGATATTGTCCTAAGCATTTTTGCTTCATTTTAAAAAATGGCCTATGAAGACAGTGGTGCAAGCTCATCATCAATAATTATAGATATAAACTAATATTTTGAGAACTAACCTAGCAAAATCCACAAAAAATGGGTATGACATGTTTTTCACAAAGGCATGCATGTTCTTACAAATGCATGAATGCAACATTCGGGAATATTTATCACTCTGATACAAGTGACATAGGGAAGAATCTCCAGGATGCAGGACAGAAGAGATGTTATTACAATTGAGTCGGCAGAAGTCGAACCACGATTACATCCTATTCTGAGAAGAGTTATAATCAGGCGGAGGAGAGAATGGGTTTATTCACCCGCAGAGCATAAACAAATGAACAAACTACCACCACCATGAGAACATCAGCAGATCCTATCCAGGCAGCATCTGAGGGAGGTGGTGGCCAATGATAGGTCCACTCGAATCGCTATCCAGTTGACATAGATCCCGACTACAGAGATAAGTTTGCAAGTTATCAGATTCTAAAAGCAAACTTGAATCACAAATAGTTTTTTTCTTATTCTATATTAATTTAATGAGCAAACTTATAACATGTTTTTATATGTGGCTCTCTGTTAAGAGAATATGTGGTTAGACTGGTGCAAGCATGTGATATGTTTGATAGCAGTTTTTCCTATGGTTCATTAATACACTGGCATTTTGACATATCTGTGTAGTTACAGTTCTCAAGGCACATAGATTTAAGCTGATAATGGGAGTCAACCCACAGGTAACAAGTAAGTCCAAGAAAACAAGTTTCTGAACCAGCAGCAAGACCAACCAGGTCAGTAACTCAGGTCAGTGTCACTTACTGAGACAGACTGGCCTGCCATGACCTGGGCAAGACTCCTCTGCATATCTGGGTAACCCTGGCCACTGGATTTTAACTCTAACATTTTATAAGTATTCCTGTATAAGACACATTAGCCTCCTCATTTTTTTTTTATTATTATTATACTTTAAGTTTTAGGGTACATGTGCACAACGTGCAGGTTAGTTACATATGTATACATGTGCCATGTTGGTGTGCTGCACCCCTTAACTCGTCATTTAGCATTAGGTATATCTCCTAATGCTATCCCTCCCCCCTCCCCCCACCCCACAACAGTACCCGGTGTATGATGTTCCCCTTCCTGTGTCCATGTGTTCTCATTGTTCAACAGGCTCAGAGAGGTAATACAAGTTCCTTCAGGTTATACAACTAGTAAGTGTAGAGCCAAATACCGAACCCAGAACTGTTTGGCTGAAAATTCTACATTCTTCACTCTACTAGCCAGGGCTCATTTCCTGAAAGTCATGTACAGTTGCACAGCCATCACTGATGGTGGGGACAGTGTGCCTTAAAAAGGATTCATCTTGAGAGCCCCAGAAAAGGCCAATAGCAACCACAGCAGAGTATTTAACTTATAACTAGGTTTTCAGAGGCTTTCACCTCTTTTCTTATTGTTTGTCAGTTTCCAGGAGAATTTTTTTAAAAATCTCAAAGCAGTGCCCATGATAGACAACCCTGAGGGAAATTCGGTGTTACTCATGGTTATGGCTTTATTTAGGCAATATACTATAGTATTAATATATACTATATTAAAGTGAAGTATATAATAAAGCATATTGCCTAAATAAGGAAGCACAAGCCAACAGTCACTTCTCATATCCAATACGTCCAATTATACTAGAAGTAGACAAGAAGCGACAAATTGGCAGAAGACTCAGAAGGAAAAATACATTTGTAAGAGGAGATTATTCATTATACGAAATTGCATTTGTCTTTTGAGAAGAGAGAGAGAAGGAGTGTTAATATAAGATCCAAATGGCTCTCCCTTCACGTAAAGACTATATTTCAGATTTTTAAGCCAAATTGCACTGTCAGAGAATCACTCCAAATTTCATAACCGTTATTATGACTCAGGAGCATTAGGAACTACTTATAGGAGAGTTTGCCTGAGGCACAATTGTGAAGTAAGTGAAATTTATCTTTCCAGTCCTTCGTGTTCTTTCTCTATGTTCTCCCATCCC
This sequence comes from Homo sapiens, assembly GCF_000001405.40. Taxonomy (NCBI): domain Eukaryota; kingdom Metazoa; phylum Chordata; class Mammalia; order Primates; family Hominidae; genus Homo; species Homo sapiens. Next base: position 165,724,043 of record NC_000005.10, on the reverse strand, counting down.
TTCTGGCACTGCCTGCTATTGTCCCTGTTTTATTTTTTCATTTATTGGAAGAGTTATCAGTCATTTACACTTTAGCATGAATGCATCGTGTTTAGCACAATTAGTTTGTTTCCTCATCTATGGTAGACTCATGTTAGAAATTATCTCTAAGTGTGAATTAAAGGATTTTGTTAAAAATTTTAAGATATCGGGGGAAGACAGAAGAGCTTTTAAGGAAATCATTAAGAGAATTTTCATGTATTCCCTGGAATGACACCATAAAGGCAACCGCTGATAGAAATGGTGATAAATAATTGGCGAATAGTATAACTACAGCTTCTCTCCAGAAACCCCATATCTGAGAACTAAGAGCTGAAATGAAAGATGAAGGCAAGTGTGATGAATTGTTTCCTTACAATAACAGAATTTTAGGTTAGATAGGACATTATGCCTACCATTAGCTCCTGCTATGTTTCGTGTTTGCCCCTTCCTTTTTTGCTAGAAGCACAGAGCCCTTTTCTGCCTCTCAAGTCACTGCCCTGTGCTTCACATTTATTTCTCATTCTCACTGGTGTATCTTCCCTACAAACCAAGGTTTCCATTTCTCAGTGACATATTTTCAATAAACGACCGTGTTAGAAAATAATCGGCTAAGTTAATGCTTACCAGAGCATGTGTGACTAAAAACTCAAAGTTTTCGTTGTCCAAACTCTGAAATGTATTTACTTGTTAACCAAATGAAATGTGGTCCAACTTAATTATGAACTTTTAAACAGTAGCAGTACAGCAGATGCTAATTAGCAGGCCTAAGGGCAGGTGACCTTTCCAACTTCATCCCAGCAATAAACACAGCCATAGCAACAGAAGGGAGAACAGTGGCTAGTCAGCACAAACCACCACTAAAAAGGGAGAGCAATTTTTCTACTCTGTAGATGCATAAGGTTAAATTCACCTTAATGGGATGGTGGTGAGAATGGTATTAATTACACACTGTTCGGCACACAGAGTTTTATACAGGAGGAAGGGTCTTTTCTGAACATCTTTGAAGTATCCATTCATTAGGAGTGTTAGAGGATGCGGAGGTGATTATCACTATTAAACAGCACTAGAATGACTGGACTCACTGGCTTCCTCACCTAACCATTACTATTGCTGCTTTAGGTTTACTCTGATCACATTTTAAGTCCGGTTAGTGCTAAAACCTCCCGGGAACAATCCCTAGGATGCCACCTCTCTTCTAATAGATATATTGTCTCTCTCTTCAATAACCCAACAATATCTGGAGTTTTTGATCTCTGCTACTGAAAGGAAGTTTGGATTAAAATCTTTAAGCAGTCATAGAAAATAAAGTGAATCCTTTCCCTGTATAGGCACAACAAAAGTAGCTGTGTGCATGCAGATACAATTCTCTTTCTTAGTCTCGCGGTTCAGATCCCATGACCATTTCTCTTTGATCTTCCTCATGGTCTTGCTATCACTTTGAAACAGCATGGCATGCACTCTAGGCATCAGCTTATTAAATACAGGTTATTGTTAAAGGAAAATTCCAACTGAGACTCAGCTGATTCATGTATAGTCTCCCTTATTTACTAAGAATTTTTTCACTGGAAAATATTGAAAGGAAGCTAGCTTTTTATTTTTTTAAAAGAAGTTTTAACTCCCTTTCATTTAGAAAAAAAATCTTTGGTGTAAAATTTTACCAATCACTTGCAAATATACTTAATCCCAAGGCCTTTGTATTTGAGGATATCTGCACATAAGTGACTTGGTAAAATATATATTCTGCTGTCCCATGAACTAATATTGTCATGTTTGCTTGAAAACGGAGGATGCATAACCTAAGTTTTATTAGAATCAGTAGAGAGATTTGAAAATGCTGGTATTGCATGTTAGCACTGATCAAGTTTTGTGGCTTATACTTTTTCATAAGAGTAAAATATAGAGAAATTGTAACTATAAAATCATACTTGTAAAGTCATATAATGTGCATATAGAGATGTGTGTACACATATACACGTAAACCCACACACACTTGTGACGCTTTGGATTATAAGTTTTGGAGTCAAATGGACTGGGTTTTATGCCTTTTAATCACCGTGTAGCCTTGAGAAGGTTGTTTAAGCACACTGCCCCTCTATTTCTTCATCTGTAACATAGGATGGATAAAACCCATCTCAGAAAACTGTTGTGAGGGCAAAAAACAATGAACCGTAACTACTGGAGTACCTGACGTTGAATAGGTTCCAATAAATAGTGGCTGCTGTTGCTACTGTCATCGTGGCTGCTTAGGAGGTTGTTATCCAGCCTTAAGTAAATAAATCTCCTTAGCCACTCACTCAAGCTGAGTCTGAGAGAAGTAGCACCATAGGAACCCACACCTGCAATTCAGAACATCTGCCCTCGAGACTGTCAGTTTGGTGTCCATATTTGATAGCCTCTTTTGTTGTCCTTGGCACCTTAGTAACTATGGCTTGTGTCACTTGGGGAAGCCTTAGGAGCCTCTAGCTGCACCTATTTATCTACTCCGGAGGAGGCCACTCTACCTTTTGGATCTCCGAAAAGTTAATTTTCATTATGACACACAGCCCTCATTTAGAATCAAATGCTCTCAAACACAGTTTAGATACTTGGTGATAATTCATCCAGATGTTGTATTGAAGAAGTTAACAACAGGTAAATAATTGTACTATTGTAACGAATTGTAATTCTCTTACTAGATGACTTCAGGGAAAAAAACAATTCCTACAGACTTCTAAACCAGAGAAAATATACTATAGAGAACACAGTTGTATAATTAGTATTCTCTCACACCCAAGAAATATGTGGCTTAGTCATCCTTATTATATTGAGATTGTAAATCTAATGTCATCTCTGACTCCACCCTACTCATTAATAAAAAGCCCTTGGGCTATATCAACTGATCTATATCCCTAATCAAGTATTTATTAAACCCTTGCTGTGTGCATCCCATTATGGTAAGTGTTGCAGCTGCATCCGCATGTCTTATGATGCTAAGTGAGTTCGGGTAAAAGCTTGTAGATTCTCAGATTACATGTCAGGCCTGGAGTCACATCTCTCATATGCCGTTCATTAGTGTTAAACCTTGAACAATTTCTTGAGCATATTTGCTTCCCTTTTTACATCTATGTAATGAAGAGCTTGAACCCGAAGATGTCTAAGGTCACTTGCAGCTGTCACATTCTATGATCTTCCTCCTCTTTCCTGAGAGGTTACGTAGGGTTTCCTGAATCGTTAAGGGATCATACTCCTTGCTCCACCCATAAGGAACTACATTCATATTTGTCTCACGGCTGGTATTCTGTGAGTGCTAGCGTTTTTCCCGGAACATACCCCTACCGTTTATGAGAATAATCCCCAGTCATCCTTTAGGTTCTGTTTCAAATACCACAAGCTTTCCCAGAGGTTTTCCAACATCTCCAACTCCTTTTTTCCCTCTATGCTGAGTTAAATGCTTCTCCTTGTTCCCATAGCATCTTAAACTACATTTCTTTTTTGTTTTGTTTTGTTTTGTTTTTTGTTTTTTGAGATGGAGTTTTACTCTTGTCACTCTGGCTGGATTGCAATGGCATGGTCTTGGCTGATTGCAACCTCTGCCTCCCAGATTCAAGCGATTCTCCTGCCTCAGCTTCCTGAGTAGCTGGGATTGCAGGCGTACGCCACCACACCTGGCTAATTTTTTGTATTTTCAGTAGACAGGGTTTCACCATGTTGGCCAGGCTGGTCTCAAATTCCTGACCTCAGGTGATCCTCCCCCCTCGGCTGCCCAAATTATAGGGATTACAGGCAGGAGCCACTGTGCCTGGCCTTAAGCTACATTTCTTATAGCATTCATTGCACAGTGCTGTCTTGTCCATTTGTCTGACCAAATTCTTCACCAGACGGTTGGCTTCACACCTTCCTTACACATTGTATTTTCAGGCTCTAGTATAAAATCTGTCTCAAAGTAGGTGTTCAAAGATTATTTCTGGAATAAATTAGGAGTTGACTTCTCTGTTAAATCCTGGAATGGCTTCCATTTGTAGTGGACACTGTGCTACTCTTCCCAGGTCACCCTTCAGGAGGGAAGAGCTCATCCTACAGTCTGTAGGTAATAAAAAGCTCTTAGTATCTCTCTCCAGGAATTACACAGGGCAGAAGATACCCTACCCCCAAGGTTATGCCCCCTTCTCAGGGACAGCTAGGATGCAATGACTGGTTGATGTAGGGGTATAAATGGCCAGCCCCGTTGCCTAAATGCAAGATAACTTACAGAGCCATCCCAGCACCACAGCCCCCCTTGGGAACAGCTGAGCAAGACATTTGTGGTGACCACATCACAGTTCAGCTCCTTTTATCCACCAGTGGTATTTTCCTTACTCTGACTTAAGTGTTGTTCTTTACAGAGCTCAGCAACAAACTTCCTGCCTGCAAAACTCAAATCTCAGAATCTGTTTTCCATGGAACACAACCACTGAGTAGAATAAAATTCAAATCCTTACAAAGGCTTGCACAACGGGACTGACCTGGTTTTCCTCCTTCTCTAACCAGCTCTCATCACCATGCACTTGTTTTCAGTTACACTGTCTGCCCTTCCTTACATCCTTGAAACTTGTTGTTTCCCCATATGTAGGACTGTTACTTCTAGTCCCTCTTTCTAGAAGTTTCGTCTTGGCCTATCTCATAAATGACAATGTCCTTTTATTCTCAATGATTCTATCAGTGTCATCTTTCTGTTTTTTTCTATAAAAAGGCCTTGCTTTGAGATGCTACCCATGGTGATCACGCTGGCATTCTGCTCACTACCCTAGTTATTTCCATTATAACATCTTTCATAAAGAGATTTTTTTTTTTTTTTTTTTGCCTAAAACATTGACCCAATTAACACCTAAAGATCTGTAGTCAGAGTAACAAAAATAACAATAACACACTTACATAGCACTTATTATTAACCAGGCACAGTCTGAAGGGCTATACACATTGAATGCTCACCACAACCCTATAACATAGTGATATGGTTAAGCTTTGTGTCCCCACCCAAATCTCATCTTGAATTGTAATCCCCAGGTGTTTAGGGAGCGACCTGGGGGGAAGTGATTGGATTACAAGGGCGGTTTCCTCCATGCTGTTCTCGTGATAATGAGTGAGTTCTCACAAGATCGGATATGTATGTAAGGCAATTTTCCCTACTCTGGCAGGCTCTCTTTCTTGCCTCCATGTGAAAAAGATCTTTGCTTCCCTTTTGCCTTCTACCATGATTTTAAGTTTCCTGAGTCCTCCCCAGCCATGCAGAACTGTCAGTCAATTAAACCTCTCTTTGTTATAAATTACCCAGTCTCGGATAATATCTTTATAGCCGTGTGAGAACAAACTAATACAGATAGGCACTATTATATCCTCAGCTTTGCAGATGAGGAAATGAAGGAAGAGAGATCCCACAGCAAGAAGTGAAGCTGAGATCCAAACTCAATACAGTCTAGCTACCAAATTGACGCTATTATCTGTGGTAGGTACTATATAACCACATTTTAAGTAATACGTGACCAATGAATGAAAGAATGAGTGGACAGCATAGAAATTACTCCAGTAATTTTTCTGTGGAGGGTATTAGAGTTGGACATAAAGTTTAAAATGTAACATTTAATATATATCCCTTTGACAAGAGAAACAAACACTTACGTATTCTGTCTGATCTTCTATGTTGAGTCAATAGTTCTGCCACTGATACAGAAAAGGGGCCTATTATATGCTGGTGCCAAATCCAATATGTTGCCCATTTTCTACGCAGGTACTTGTGTTCCTAACTTCCCTTTCATAAGCAGGCAGTTCGAATATGAATGAGCCATTCAACAGAAGGAATATTTGAAAATATTACAATCTATTATACTAAGACAAAAAGTAGGCATAGTACAAAATTTGAGGGTGCATGTTTTTCTTTTAGATCACTATAGATAATATTAGAGTACTTCTAACTTTGTAAATGGCAGGATGATTAAGTTTGGTAATACAATGCATAAGAAATATCAGCTCTAATAAAAATGTTCCACTCTCCAAATTTAGAGATTTTTGTCTACAAAATGCTACTGAAAGAAAAGTGAAAAATGTGATCATACACCTGAATGTTTTGTCTACCTTATATCAAACATTTTTTATTTATAAATTATAAAGCTGAGAATTTTTGACTTTGTACCCAGAAAACCTGGCAAAGGTACTAAGTCAATGGAATCCAGCCTTTTTTGTGTGTGTTGAATAATTATGCACAGCACATTTTTCTTCCCCTAGCTTTTTGCTTAGATATGTTTAAAATCACAATATATTCTAGTATATCTAACTTAGCTTTGCATTAATATAATTGAGAAGCACAATTAGAGTTGTTTAATAGGTCAATTTCTGATGAATTACACAAAATGTGATAATCTTCTTTGACATAATAATTTTGGAAGCCATTTTGCAAAATAAAGCATTGCAGAAGAGATTAGTTCTTCAGATAAATTTCTATTACTCGTCTTTTATTTTTATTCCCCAAACCGTATGCCAGTTACTAAATAATTTCTTCATAAACATCAATATATACTTATCTATTTCTATCATTGACAGTGCTAGGTTTTTTAAAGGTAATTTTTGCCTCAGCGTTAATACATCTAGAAAAACAACTATTTTTACTGAGAATAAGGAAGGTTATAGTAATTTTCCCAAACAATTGTGATAGAACCAATCCAGTCACAATATCATATGAAGTGTAACAGCAATTAATTTTTTCATTTCTTGAGCCCTTATCATATACGAAGAGCATTCATGCTAGTTTAAATTTATTTCAAGAGAATATTCTGTGGGGCAAACACTAGTTAAGTTCTGAGTAGCTAATGATGCATTCAAGAAGAGTAGAAATAAACTATTTTTGAAAAACTTTCAAATACAATTTTAAAACTTCAGGAACTATCTTTTATCTGCTAATCAGTATCATTGCTCAGTTCTCTATTGTCAAGAAAAGAGCCAATCTGAGACAGATTTTGTGGACACAGAGACCTCATATTTGCAGAAAAAAATGAATTATTTAACTTATAACCATGTGGCCTGATCATGACATTAATTTAAGATTTTCCTTCTCCTTTAATTAAGATAACCATTAGATAAGCCTAAACAACATTACCTTTTACAACTCTGACAATTTAAAAGTTTGGGAAATATTTGACCAACTTGAAATATTATATTTAATCCAGCACTTACGAGAGTATTTTAAAGAAAAACATTCTTGTAACTCTTGAAAATGTGCTCTTCTAAAGTATAGAATTTTTAAATAAACAATTGTGGCAGCCTAAAATTAGATTTAAAACAAAAATGTGATAACCAGAAATTGATAACTATTGAATATCTTCTACTCATAGGTTTCAAAGTCATTGGCACAACAATTGCTAATTTGTCATAGTTCCTATCATTCATTTGTACAAAAGGGTAGACTGAAGTATTTATACCATTTGAAAATTAAAATGAGTCTACTATAAACTATGAGAAGAAATGTATGGGCTATTTTTAATCACTCATTTTCTCTTTTGCAAGTTGAATTCTAATTCATTGGGAAAAAATTTCTCTGGGACTTCTAAATAGTGTATTTAAAAATTCACTGTAGAAATCAATAATATATGTATATCTCAATTCAAGTCTTTTAAAGTGAGAAAATATGAGACAACATGAGTCAATAACATTCAGGAGATAGAATTCAACTAGCTGTCATCATTAATAATATTGAATAAGTTCACTGGGAAAATGACGACCAAGGAACTTTAAAGGGATAACTTCAAATTTTACATTTTGAAGAATTCAATTATCCTCCCAAACCACTCTGAGAGTGTTTCCTTATTTTTCTTCAGTTTTCATTTTATAAAAAAAAAGAAATGTAAATATTTCTTATAAATAAGAATAGTACTTACATTGTTAGCCATTTTTATCATTATGTAGTGTACATTTTATCTGAGCTGACTAATCATTTTTTTAATTAGACATTTTGGTTTCAAACTTTAAGCAACTTTCTATAAATTAGTGGGAAGAAAAATGATAGTTCAATGCTATAGTCAGGGATAGTAAATCCCAAGTAGCGATCATTAACCTTAGAACACATCTCATAGTGATAATGGTAATTATACTTCTTAGAAATGTCCATACCACAGGTTTCTTGTCATTTATACAGTTGAGGGAAAGAACAACGTTATTAGATATTTATAAGTCATCTCAAAGGGTTTGACAGGGCCTTTAAATCAAATTTTAAACAGAAGCCATTTTAAATGTTCACTTTTTAAACAATAGTATCCAGCAGACTTCCCTGCCTGTCTTAATTCTATGACTATTTCAAAAATGAAAGCTCACTCATGTTTTCCTTCTCACCATTGTCTCATGTACCAATTAGTCTCTTTTGTAGTAGATATCTTTGGAGTGCACTCCCAGACAAAGCCTCCTTTCTCCGTAACAATTATACCGCCATATATAAGGTAGACTCCAGCAACCCTATTGTTTACTCCATGGCCCTGCTCCCTGAAGATCCTCAACTGGACTAGGGCTGAATACTTGCCCCAGGAGAGAAAAATCACATTTCCTCTTCATGAGCTGGAATTGGACATAGAGAGGCAGATCAAGTTTTGCTGTGCCTGTGAACTAAAGGTAGGTTACTTGAAACCATGGGGTAGAGTTTTGCCACTCAAGTGCAGTGCAAAGAACAGAGAATAGATGAAACAAAGATGTAAGACTATGCAACTTAAAGGAGTCCGAGGTCATGGAACTGGATCGCTTTCTAAGTCTCCTTCTGTTTCTACTAAGGTGGAAGTGTCTTTCTTCCCCTCCAATTCCATGAGCTAGCCTTGTATTTAATAGCAAATTCCTTACTTTTGTGTAAACAAGTGCCAGTAGGTTTCTGTGACTTGTATCCCAAAGAGCATTAAGACATCCATCTGTTTCCACTATGTGCCCTTTTCCAACATCTTCATATGTATAAAATACTTGAATAATTATGATAAAAATATGTAAAATTGTGTTTGATATGTTAGCAAAATATGTAAAAATTATTGTTCCCATCATATATTTTCCTTCTATGACACATTAAAAAAATCAGAAAATGCTTTTCAACTTTGTTGTTTCTTGAAACTCTTTTCATTCTAGTTAGTCACAATGTCCTTCCTTGGGCTTGCTAGCATCTGTCCTCCAAACTTAATGAGCCTATCACTTATACAGTGTTTCTATTTTTAGACAGTGCAATGCATAAGTCTCTAAATCTGACTTGAAACCTCAGCTCTCCACCCCCACCCCATGTAAAGTAGCATGATGTGTCAGCACCAAGAAAGCCACTGCTGGCTCCAGTGCTCCTGGACCCAGTAACACTGGAGGACTGTGAGTCCTGGAGTGTCTTCTAATTAACACTTTGCTTAAACAACAACAAAAAAGAAATAACGCACCTCAAAACAAACAAACAAACAAAAAAACACCAGCATTTGAATCAGGTCTGTGCATATTTTCTTCTACTTTTCTGTTGGAGTAAGAGAAGTTCCATTCATTTTTCTTAACAAAGCAACAGATTCCCAAAGATTATATTTCCTGAATATATTTGAAACTATCTACTATTAGAGAAAAACTTTTTTTTTTTTTTTTTTAAGATAGAGTCTCACTCTGTCACCCAGGCTGGAGTGCAGAGGCGCAATCTCGGCTCACTGCAACCTCCACCTCCCGGGTTCAAGCGATTCTCCTGCCTCAGCCTCCCGAGTAGCTGGGACTACGGTCATGCACCCCGACACATGGCTAATTTTTGTATTTTTGGTAGAGACGAGGTTTCATCATGTCGGCCAGGATGGTCTCAATCTCTTGACTTTGTGATCTGCCCACCTCAGCCTCTCAAAGTGCTGGGATTACAGGCGTGAGCCACTGCGCCCAGCCAGTAAAACATTTTTATAACGAGGTAAGGGAGAGAGGAAGGAGAAGAGGGAAAGGGGAGAGAGAGAGGGCTAATAAACAAGCTATTTTATTTTTACTAGCTCCAACATATTTTAATGTGGTTTTACATATTTAACTTCTGTATTTCTTTTAACCGGAGTGTAGGGAAAAACTTATTATTAGAAAACAATGCCAGAGTCTTTTTGGTAAAAGCTAATTAAGATAATATTGTTTTTACTATAATCATGAGAGGAGTTAGTATCACAAATTGTGTTCTAATTAGTCAGTTAATTGTAGTTAGTTAACAATAAAAAGTCACAGAGTACCTAGTTAGGCAGTAGGTTAACCACGAACAATTAAGGAATTTCTAGTGTGTGAGCAACAGTAGGCCAGGCACCTAGGGGTGAGATATTTTAAAAAAATAACTAAAACTTCCCTAAAGGAGTTTTGGGGTAAACCAAACAGGTACAGGTGGGAGATGATTAAAAATGAGATTTTTAACTTATTTAAAAAAAACCCAGAATATTATGACTGCACAAATGTTAACTGAAAGCTTACAGCAAACCTATGGGCATGGGAGAGGTGCCTGTATGTGTGGAGTCACTGAGCACAGCAGAGAGCTGCCCACCATGGCTTTGTTGAGACAAGAGGGAATTGACTCATGGGCGTTCATATCATCTCTGCACTGGGTGTCAGCTGGTGACAGCCCCACCTGGGTGGCAGAGCCTGAGCACCTCCTGGAGCTCCAGGCACTGTGAGATGTGCTTCCTCTCTTCAGTAGGTCTCTGGCAGCCATTCAAATGGAAGCTCAATATGTTAGGACTGGCTTTGGAAAACATCTCCAAGCAAGAACTCCCACTGAATAGTAAAATGGAAATTCTGCTCTCAGAAAACCTCCAGAATTAGGTTGTTATAATAGTTGTTATAATTTTGGTTTTCACCATGTTGGTCAGCTCCATAGGCATGGTGGCTCATGCCTATAATTCAAGCATTTTGAGAGATTGGGAGATTGGGAGAGATTGGGAAGATTGCTTGAGGCCAGGAGTTTGAAACCTGCCTGGAAAACATAGTGAGATCCTGTCTCTACAAAAATTAAAATAAAGAAATTAACTGGGCATGGCGATGTGTGTCTGTAATCCTAGCTACTTGGAAGGCTGAAGAGGGAGGATCTTTTAAACCCAGGAGAGTTTGAGGCTATAGTGAGCTATGATTGCACCACTGAACTCCAGCCTGGGTAACAGAGCAAGACCCCATATCTTAAAACAAACAAACAAAGTTAGTATAATTCTTATATGCGCTCATTAACTCCTGTATAGTTATTTTTTGAGTTCCGTAACCAAATACTTATAAATACCACAATACACACTGTGACACAAGAACCAAGCCCTCATCAGCAACTGCTGTATTAAGTGAGGGACAAATGAAGTAGGAGAATATTCAAGAAGCAAGATTACATCATACTACATCATAGAAAAGAAAATCAGGCATTGAAATTTCAGGGAATGATGTTTAAACCCCAGCTCTGTCAAATAACATGTGACGATGAGTAAATTACTTCTCTGCACTGGTAAAAATGGGGAGTAATTACGATTACATACAGAGATGAGGAGGATGACATGGGATAACAAACACTGAAAACTTTTCAGACGTAATTTTCCTGGGTTTTTCTGACACGCTGCAACACAGCAAAGCATTCTATTTCAAACAGTCGCACATCTCTCTACCAACAACAACAAAGTGGCAACCAACTGGCAACCAATCGGCAACAAAACAGAGAAGAAGAAGAAACATGTTACAAGGCCCTCCCAGACTTGGAAGTCAACTGAGAAAACATCAGAGAGAACATGGTATCCTGGGTGATGCCTAAACAGGATGGCAAAGCGGAGAGACACCAAAGAGGAGGCAGGAAAAGCAGCTCAGAAAAGACAGTGACCACGTGACTTTAGAACTTAGAACTACATGGGGGGCAAACTTCAGAGGCAGCTTAGTGTGATGGTGAGATGGTGAATAGAACTAAATTCAGACCACAAAGGTAGAGCTTTTCATTTCAAAGAGAGGGACAGAAGGGGTAGGCAGGCTTATGTTTCAGAAAAGCTCCATAGAGCTTCACAATCTTTGGGAATTCCCCAGGGTGTAAAAGTTCAATAAAAGAAAATTGGCTTACAGTACTCCGCACTAAGTGCACATCTCAAGATTAGTTAGATAGTCTCTGGGACTGGGCAGAGTGAAAGAATTAGAAGCAAAACTAAATAGTTATTAAGGAGATAGAAAAGCTTATGAGTGAATACAATGGGAAATACTTACGGTGAGATTAAAAGCATAATTTGAAAGAATCCCCCTCCTTTTTTCTTAAGACAAGGTTATCAGGTGAGTAGCACATGGAGGATGGAAATAAAAATGGAAATAAAAATAAGAGAAGTTATTATCTTTTGTGCTTTGTTTCCAGGAATCTTAAATTTTATGTGATGCTAGGCTTATGTGATTTATGAAGAAAAAAACATAAGTGGATGCTTTGTATTTATCCAGAGGATTTGGGTATATATAAAAACTGGCTCAGCTACTGCCCCTCAATACCATTAGCAATTTCTTTGTGTTTATGTTTCTTGAAAGCAGAAGTTCTACCTGAACAATTTGATGAATATTGTTAAGATATTTAAAACAGACATAATAAATAAAAGTAGACTTTTTTACAAACAAGACATATGGACTTAGAGTTCTAAGTCTTAAGGCAGAGAAGAGATATTGTATGCGGACTAGTCTTAGCAGTTTATAACTTAAAAACAGTGTATTTCATAAAATCTAAGAAATTCTTTTAACATTTTAATGTCTCCTAAAATCTAGACATTCCTTAAAATCGGCTTCTTAGATTCTGTGAGTAAAAGCAAACACTTATACACAAAGGACAATGTTTCAGTGACTGTTTATAACACTTGGCATCTAGTAGAACATTTTATCCTCAAGCCATTCTATGGGGTAAGAAATATTACACACATTTTACAGATGAAGAAAGTGAGGCACAAAAGAGGCTGTGTCAACTCCTGGAACTTTCTAGGCTAGTAAGCAGCAGAGATGAAGTTTAAACACACACAGCTTGTCTGCAGATTCTGTGCTCCTAACCACATAAATATCATACAGTCTCATATCTTATTTAGTGGAGCAGAAAGTAACAGGAGTAAAGTGTTTGCTGGTCAGAAACAAAATCTTAATATGTGAATACATATAGTATTCTTAAATTAGGGTATATTTACCCCTTCTGTCCTCTCAGATGAATTTTTTTCATTGTTAGAATTTTTACCAAACAGTACCAATATTCGCAATCATTCATAGTCATTTACTTTAACCCATCTATTCTTTTGATACAAGATGAAGATTTAACCTCTGTATAAGTGAACATAGGGGTCCAAGGAGAATGGAGATCTAGATCAAACAGTCCCGCCTTTAGAGACAGGGTTTGGTTGCACTGAATGTTAGTGGACACAGAACTGAGGTTATAACCAAATGAAGGCAGAGAACACACAGTTGAAAGCACAGTTTCTGGAGTCAGGCCTGGGTTGAAATCTTAGATGATCTTGGATGTCACTCAGTCCTCCTAAATTTCTAATTTCTTCATCTGTAAAGTGGGACTAATAATGGTAGCTACCATATGGGTAATTGTAAAATTAAAGGACAGCTCAATACATTGTAGCTATTTATACACATTAGCAATGAAACAGAAAATATTAAATAATTACACTTGACTTTTTAAAAAAGGAACTTAATGAGTAAAACAGTGTCCTGTAAGAAGATGAAGACTACACTAAGAGTTGCTATGACCACTAAAATCTGAAGTATGCAGTTGTTGATTTCATGACTTAAGTCCAGTTTAAGGACAAAACTAATTCCTTTTGCTAATTCACTTGCCAAACATATTTATTAGGAAAGAATACTATCAGAATGATTAGGATATTCTGTATCTTTATGTATCCATAAGTCAATCTAGCTTTTTTTGAGGAAATATATGCCTGTCTATTTGGAAGATAATAGCTATCTAGATACAATTAGTCAGTTTAAAATTTTATTTCACAACCATAACATCATTTTTGTACACGATATATTAGTATACAGAATTACCAACAGGGATCACCGTGATCTTATGGGCTTTTTTGTTGTTGATTTTAAATGACCTTTCTCAAAATTTATAGTAAATGTATACAAAACATTATAATCCCTTGTCTTTATGTACAACTTATCCAGGGCATAATTTTAGAGATATTTGGCTTCATTCCTAAAATTCTAAGTTGGTATGTACACTGTTTAAATAGGTGTAGAATGGGTCCTTTGGTGACTGTATGGTGATAAACTGTAAATGAAAAAACTTTAGTAATTTTCAATTTATTTTAAAATAATGATTTCTTTTTAAAGCTGGAATATGAAGTTTTACTTATGATTTTAAATTTTAAACCTTATTTTTTAAATAAAAACTATTAAAGTATATTAAAATTAATATTAACATCCACAAAATAACAAAAATTAGGGAAACATTGAAAAATATCAAGCATTTAGACTTTAAGCAAATATATATCACTTTTTGAATTTTTTTACAAACTATTTTGTGTTATATAATTTATGTCATGAGTTGAATAAATACATAAACATTACTAATATACTATTTCAGTCAGATATTCTTAATGACATGGATTAAAAAAAGCCTCATCGGCTAATTTTCTTGGCATGTGCTTTTTTGTGTGTGACCTGCCATGCCAATATTTAAAGAGATATACACACTAACTACAGCCCAACGATTGTCCATTATTAAAATGGCAACCAGGTATCTCTACTTTCGTTTTCAACTCTAAGAAACCAAGAAACAGTTACCTCAGAAGGAAATTACACCTACCAGGAATTTTATCTTTTGAATTACAAGTATTAACTTCTGTTACTTCTATACTACGCTTCTCCCCTTATGCATTTCCAAACCAATGGAAAGCGTGTCCGCTTGCACACACACCCGCATGCACACACTCAGAACAGCACCTTGCCCCAACAATTCCACAGTTCTAATTAAAAGCTACATTTTGTTAAGCAAAGTAGGAGTTACAATAAAGTGGAGGGAGCATGTGAAATGAATAATTAACGTTGTATAGACTTCGGCATCATAATTAAGATTAAATGCTGCATATATTCAAACTAGATTAGCACAGCCATTGAAAGCAGCAATGCGCTCAGTGGGAGAGTATGCTTTTGCTAAATAATGTTTTATGAAGAATATTCTAAAAACATTAAGCATAAGGTTGTCATATATAAAATGATTCAAGTTTTATACAAAAGAAGCTGTAATTCCGGTAAATGAAGTAATTTCGTTTTCCTGCTGTTTTCACCTTTAGGAACATACTGTAAATGGAAAGGGACTCCATGTGATACCTTATTAAATAGAGTATGAAGCCCCTCATTTGAAGTTAATGAACGCTTGCTACATAAATTTGGGGTAACGGACAGTTCCAGGCACTTAACCTCACCAATTCCTTCTGGAAATGTTAATTTTATTTAAGTTCTTATTTATTGTATCCTCTAATCTTGCTACCAAGCTATTTGTTTTGTATTACAGAAAATAAACATTCAACTTTCCTTTAGGTTCTTTCTTGTGTTTTGTGAATAATTTGTGAAAACTCTTAGAGCTGGCAATAGATAGTCATATATTTTTATAGCATAAGGATTTTATTCATGCTGACAGTAAGTTTTATGCTGAGATTAGACTTGGTTGTGAGCATTTTACTGTACATTTCTGCTTTTCCTGGAAACTGACGAGTTAGAGTTTAAAAAAGGAAATCAAAACAAAATGTGATTTTTACACTAGTTAAATATTGGCTAAAATTCTTTCCTGATCTCTCCAATTTTTTGCAATTGCCCTAGGACTGTTAAAAAACAAAAGCCCAAAACGAAACAAAAAAAAATTCATTTTAAATCTTATCTCAGGTATAACATTTATTATCAAACTGAAGTGGGATGAAAAGCATTTGAAATTTTAAAAATTATGTATGTTTTTAAATTCATGTGCATAAATTTATTTTCGGATCAGGAAAATCTATATTCCAAATAAGTAGAATTATTTGCTCAAAATGGTCAACTAAATAACTAACCAATGAAACTACCAATAGCATAGGTAGCACAGGTTTATATGTGTAAAGTTTTAATCATCTCATCGTTTTAAGGCCTCATTATTTTGGTCTTGATTTCTTGAAATTAAGATGAAAATTAAAAGGCATACTATTAGGACATATTATTATATAATATATATTATATAATAATATATATAATATATAATATAAAATTAAAAGGATACTATTAGGATATATTCATTCTGAAGAGGAAAGTATGTCTGGGTGTATTTTGGGTGGGGAAATGTTACACTTTTTATAGTTATGTTATAGTTATTTAATAAACACATTGCAATGAAAAATACTCAAATAGCTTTTGAAAAGAAAATTCAGAATTTTTATTTTTAGGTCGAACAAAAAGAGACAGGCTGTTATTCTCTGAAGTAAATAAGGCTCTGAAGTTTTATTTACCTTATTCAAGCATGTATTTTCTCAGAATCATACTATTTTCATGCAGGCTAAAATGGCATTACACACTGAGAGAGGCACTTTTTAAAACAATTATTCTTTGTTGATAAGTTATTCTATAGAAATAACATTTAATACTCTAAAAAAAAAAAAAAGCAAGCCAAAAAGAAAAATAAGCTTCTGAATATCAAATCAAAAGTTGACAGTCCATCCGCTTACGTTATAAATGAACCCAAGGAAAAATTCTAAAACATTACCTATTAAAGATCTATAAGCTATTTACCAGGTTAAAAAATCAAAAACACCCAAATCACAGATTTGCTAAACAAAATCCATCAGTATCACTTTTTTTTTAAACCAACTCACACTAGGATAATCTTTAAAGTAATGGAGGTAGTAGGTAACAAAAATTATAAGTTGGCCAGGTCCTAAGAGGAAAAAAAAATTCAGTTACTATCCTTGCCAATTAAACAAAATATTTTAAATAATTATTTTAATCACCACTTTTGGCGAAAAAAAACATTGCTTTATGGATTTAAGATGCAGGTTAGATACTATTCCTCTAACTATCAATTACCTTTATAGCAACATAATTGCAGGTCTTACAAGTAGGTAGCACTAATAGTGTTATCAATTATAGGGCCATAAACATTGTTTATGGCAGCATATAGATATTAATGTAATCAGCAATCAATAGTTGTTATTCAAAGTGTCATGTAAAATATAACTCACGTATTAGATATAAGTCCATGTGGAACGTATATTACCACCAAGGAAGTTATTTAGGCCAAGTCTAATCAAATTTAAATATGAAATAAAGAAGAGAAAAATAGCGGTATTCAGTAGACATTCTGGACATGGCAAAAGTTATTTTATACAATGTTATTTTAAAATTTTATGTTTTTTTAAAAAAGTTTGTATAAATAGATCTACACAACAGTGACAATGTTAGATTTTCAAATCCGCGTGAATGAGTCTCACAGAACCATGGCGCAATCGAACCCACACACATTATTTCATTTTATTCCTGGAAAATATAACTTGAAAAAAAGCACTCACAATTATTAGTGAGGCTCCTATGGCAAGATTCTTAATTCCCCTGCTGTAGGGGGTGGAATCTTTAGATGGCTCCAAGTTCCTGGCCCTCTGATGTTCACACCCTGTATGACTCCCTGTCTTTGAGAAAGTGTGGCCCTGATATAATAAGGCGAGTCTTTGTACAAAAAGGACCTGGAGGTCAAAGAGGAGAAGAGTCAGAAATTAAAAGCTGTGGTGGATGCTGTCTTGTTGGCCTAAGAGGTACCAAGTGCTGCACTGTGGAGAGGGTCACATGGCACAGAACAGCAGGCTAGGCTGCCTCTAGTAGCGGAGAACAACCAGTAAGCAAATGGGGTTGCTACTGATACACCTGGAAGGAAATCAATTCTGCCAACACCCACTGAGACTGCATGGGAACTCTGAACCACAGATGAAAGTGCATCCCCAATCAGCACATTTATTGCAGTCTGATGAAACCCTGAGCAGAGAGGTCCAGTTAGTCCACACCCAGACTTCTAACCTACAAAAATACATAATAAATGAGTGTTCTTTTAAGTCTTTAAACTAGTGGTGATTTGTTACACAGCAATAGAAAACTAACACTCCCACTTTAACCCCTCTGTCTGGAGATTGACTTATTTCTCATCAGTTCCAGTATCAAAGCCATTTAAAACTTAAGGATAAGAAACCATTACATTCTCCCTAATTCTCCAAACTGGTGCCAACTCACAATGAGCTTCTAAAACCCCGATGTCTCAAGTCTGAAATGTAGGAGCATATGTTGATTGTAACACCAAAAGGTTATCTGTAAGGACCTATATAAGGCATGTATGCATAAACTGTATTAGCATATATATACATAGCCATTTAGTTTTGAAAAGATAAAGCTGTAAAGATCATAGTATAAAACCTATGATAGCTTTAAATTCAAGTTCAGCCAGATGTACATCACTATACTGAAATTCAACTAGCTAGATGCATTTTACTATATTAGTCAGTAATTAGATCATTTTCCTTCTTTAGAAACTTGTACAGGATTGCCTATCCCCAAGTCTCTGTTTTAAAAGAAAAAGGGCTTAAGGGAGTTGAAGGCTAGTTCCCAATATTACCCAAAGAGTAACAGTGTCCAAAAGTATCATGATTTCAAGGTATGTTAGTCTCTTTTGTGTTGCTATAAAGGAGTAGCTGAGACTGGGTAATTTATACTAAAAAAAGAGAAGTTTATTTGGCTGATGGTTCTGCAGGATATACATGAAGGATGGTGCCAGCATATGCTTCTGGTGAGGCTTCAGGGAGCATCCAATCATGGCAGAAGAGAGAGGGGATCCAATGTGTCACACAGCAAGAGAGGGAGCAAGATAGATGCCATGCTCTTTTAACCAACCAGCTCTCCTGTGAACTAATAGAGTGAAAACTCACTCATTACCACAGGGAGGGCACCAAGCCAGTCATGAGGAATTCGCCCCCAGGACCCAGAAACCTCCCACTAGGCCCCACCTCCAATATTAGGGATCACATTTCAACATGAGATTTGGAGGGGATGAATTATATCACAAGAAGGGAAGCAAACTTATTGATATCAGTTGCCATGTACAGACTAGATGCATTTGCCATTTCATATCACTTAATTTTCTGGCACATTTTTGGAGATTAGAAAGAGGTAAGGAGAGGAGTATGAGGCTCATTTAACACTGATGAGTGATGCCACTATATGTAACACAAGAAATGTGTGGATAATGAAGACCTGGGAAGTAGGTGACTATTCAAATGGTATCCAAAAAACTTGAATTTTTAAAATCTTCTGACTGGCTGGGTGTGGTGGCTCATGCCTGTAATCCTAACACTTCGGGAGGCTGAGGCGGGCAGATCACCTGAGGTTGGGAGTTTGAGACCAGCCTGACCAACGTGGAGAAACCCTGTCTCTACTAAAATAACACAAAATTAGCTGGGTGTGGTGGTGCGTGCCTGTAATCCCAGCTACTCAGGAGGCTGAGGCAGGAGAATCGCTTGAACCCAGGAGATAGAGGTTGCTGTGAGCCAAGGTTGCGGTGAGCCAAGATTGCACCATTGCACTCCAGCCTGGGCAACAAGAAAGAAAATCCATCTCGAAAAATAGAATAAAATAAAAAATAAACAAAACAAAACAAAAAACCTTCTAATGACTAACTGAAACACATATTGCTCCCATAGGCTACCAGTTTGCAAGGAAAAAATGTGAAATAGTTACCTTTGTTGATGAATGACCTAACCTCTCTAAGACTTATTTTCCTGAACTCTGAAATGGGATAAAGTAGTGCCTATTCTTGATTGAGTTATCATAAGGATTAAATTATACAATGCATATAAAATACTGAGAACAATGACAGATACCTAGTGCGATAACAGGCAGCAAGTAATAAAGATAGTGGTGATCAAGTAGTAGTATCAAAATTAAAGTGACTTTTTCTAATTATTTTTCTTATTACTGAAGGTTGTATGCTGTATAGAATCTTTTAATCAATTCTATATAGACAATATACATATTAAATCTCAATCTCAATGGATTGTTGCTATTTGTTCTTCTGGGATTTACCTGTACTTGGTAATTTGTAGATGGACTTCTTATCAGTCCATTATTTAGAAACTATTCTTATTATAATCACCTTGATTTTATATAATTTAGATGATAGCTCTTTCTCTTCAACCTTCCACCCAACACACATACACACACACACACACACACACACATGCACATACACACTCAATACTTATAAATTATATTTAACCCTCTTTATGGGAATATATGTATCACATTAATGTAAATCAGAAGACTTCAACTGGTAGCCCATAGACCAGATTTGGCTTATGCATATTTTATTTAGCTAGCATAGCGTTGGCTTTGCCATTATACACTAAATAATTATGATGAATTGCCAATGCTTACAAATTGGGAAATTCAAATTAAAATCTTAATTTCTGGCTTTTTTAAAGTAAAAAAAGAGATTTGTATCTTAAAAGTAGATATTATCTGGGTGCAATGGCTCACACTCGAAATCCCAGCACTTTGGGAGGTCAAGACAGGAGGATCGCTTGAGGTCATGAGTTAGAGACCAGACTGGTCAACAGAGTGAGACTTGGTCTCTACAAAAATAAAAGAAAAAATTAGCCTGGTGCTGGACTCAAACTCCTGGGCTCAAGCAATCTTTCCTCCTCAGCCTCCAAGTAGGTGGGACTAGAGGTAGGTACTACTGTGCCTGGCTGGGATCCCTTTTTTCTCATGACCAAATTCCATGGCTGCTTCTTCCCCCCTCACTCTACCACTGTCTGCTCAAATGATCTGCTAACAATTCTGGAAATAATTTTTAGTTAAAAAAAAAAAAATTGAAAAAAGTATTGTTTGAAGGATGTTATTTGGTTGCCTGCTAATGTCATTGCCTCTTTTCTCAGTGGCCCAGAGGAATGACCACACTGAAAATGTTCCATTGTTTATGTAAACAATAAAATACTGTCATATCGATTTACCCAGGTATTAGGTTATGATTGTTTTATTTTTTCCAGAAAAAAATCTTAGTGAGACTTGGAAATGTTCACAGCAATTTTAGGTTTTTAAATAGTTTTTATTTTATTTATTTATTTATTTTTCCTGGACAGAGGGCTTGTTTCATTATATTTGTGATAGTGCCTAAGCAAATCCAGAGATTTAGGGGGTATCCCACCTTCTTTATGCTATGCTCTTAAGAATTCTATCTAGAAATGACTTCCTGAAGGAGTAAAACATTTTCTTCTTTCAAAAATTTGGGTCACACTACCTTCTTATGAAGAACTTTTTCCAATTAAATAGCATTCAGTCATTAAATATTCAAAAACTGGAGGAGAGTTCAGAGAATAACTTCCTATTGATACAACAGAATGATTTCCCAAATGCCATAGCTCTCTGTGAGTGTAAGTATTTGCTACTGTTGCATATTCCGTGTTGCCATCCAGTTTAGGGAATCGCTATGAAAATCTTTTTTTGAAATGAACAATTTAATATCATTTTCATAGCTCATTGCTGCAATTTAGGGAACTTCCTTTTACACTTGGACTGTGTCCTCATTATCACCGTAATGACTTCTCACCCACGTTTGTAATGACTAAATAATTGATATGTTGGTGGGTACTCAAAGTACATGATTTTAAAACATTAAATATAAAAGAAAAGGGCATCCTAATCACCTATGAATACGTTTTTTTTTTAAGAACATACTTTCCAATATAATAAGTGTTAAAAGTGCAGAGAAGTTAAACACCAGTTAATAACAATCAGGTAATTTATGCTAGTTTCATAGTTAGGGTTAAGTACTCTAGCAAAAGCACTTGTTCACCTTGGAGACTATGTTTCATTTCCAACATAATCCTCAAATTAAAAAGATATACATGTTGCCATCAGCCCTATTTCTTATGCACAGTAGCTCCCATTGTCCTAAAGTGGCCCTTTGGGTCATCTTGCTATGGAAGCAGTTAATTTTTTTTCACATTTGTAACCTGAAACAGCATAACTGGAAATCAGTAAATAGCTTTGCATACTTAGCATGTCTAATTACAGGTTCAAAAATTATAGAGGCATCAAGGTCAAGATTATCAGAGAACGAGCCACTAAATTAACAAAACTGAAGTCTCTATTACTTGGGATAGTCCATGAGCTTATTTATAGAATTAATATAGATATAAATGTAGAGATATATAGATCTCTTGCATTAGGCCAAATTTCTGAAAATACGAAAATAGCAGTTTCTTTCTCAAAGATTCTGAGTTTGGGGCCATGTCAAAGCTTTATTTTAGAACCCTACTGGGAGGTTTAACCTTCAGATTAGCTTGAACACCCAGTGGTATTCGGGCTGTCAGGAAAGGTTGGAGAAAGACTCTGTTAATAAAGCGTTCAAAAAAGGTTATTTGCATAAACTGTCTTCCTTAAACTAAGCATTACAAATGGTATTGTTGCTCAAAGCCAAAATGGTAAGCAATTAAAGTTTGGACTCTAAATTCCCTCTGCTACTACTCTGTAAACAAGGAAAAATCGCTGTCTTCAAGTCTTGCTTCTAGTGTCCCATATGAGGACACTGGATCTGAACAATTGGAATTACACGCCCAGAATACGAACTGGGATTTGTACATGAGAAAAGGTCCATATATTAGTTTGCTAAGGCTGCCAAAACAAAGTACTGGATACCTTAAACATCAGAAATCGATTTTCACAGTTCTGGAGGCTAAAATTCCGAAATCAAGGTGTCAACAGAGAGGGCTTCTTCTGAAACTATTCTTCTTGACTTACAGATGTCCACCTTCCTTCTATGTCTTCACATAGTCTTCCCTGTGTGTGTATGTGTGTCTGTGTCCTAATCTCCTCTTTTAAGGACACTAGTCATATTGGATTAGCACCCATGCTTATGACCAGATTTTACCTCCTTAAACACCTTTTTTTTTTTTTGAGACGGAGTTTCACTCTTGTTGCCCAGGCTGAAGTGCGATGGCATGATCTCGACTCACTGCAAACTCTGCCTCCCAAGTTCAAACGTTTCTCCTGCCTCAGCCTCCCGAGTAGCTAGGATTATAGGCATACACCACCAGGCCTGCCTTATTTTTGTATTTTTAGTAGAGACAGGGTTTTGCCATGTTGGTCAGGCTAGTCTCAAACTCCTGACCTCAGGAGATCCACCCACCTCAGCCTCCCAAAGTAGTGGGATTACAGGCCTGAGCCATTATGCCTGGCCTAAACACTCTAAGTACAGTCACATGCTGTGATACTGAGGTTAAGACATCAACATATGAATTTTGGAAGGATATAATTAAGCACATAACAGTCTGTAACAGAGGATAGTAATCAGAGATTGCAACACAAATATTTTCACGCTGATGATTTTTACAGTTCATGTTATTTTTGCTCACACCTTGACTCATTATCAAACATGTAATATACATAAAGTGTGCTTCTAAAAAAATAACCAGCTGATAACTTGGCCTTTTCCCCCGGTACCCTACACATTGAGTCTTTTCTGAACAGCCTGTGAAGATTTTCCTAAAAGGCTTCTCAAGGGAAAAAAATTATTGTAGGTCAAGTTATTGTTATAATACTATCTTCTGGTTATAACTCCAGATGTAACTACAGGCCTGTGAAACTCTGGGAGCTCTGGGTGTTATGATATATCTGAGAAGGGACAAAGTTGTCATGATAAGCATTTTGTTCAGCAGAAAATCTTTTCTCAATGAGGATGCTTAATGTGGCCCAGAGAACAACAATAAATAAACAGTCTTTACTTGCCGTATAAAGGCATTTGACTCTGAGGTTACAGAGTTAATTGGCTGCCTGTAGAAAGAAACTTGCTTTCTACATGTCAGGGACCTCGAGGGTCTGTAGTAACTAGTGGACTTACAGGTCACAAACCAAAAACTTTCTTAAGAATATTAATTAGACCAAATATTGAGGAAAAAGACAGATATGCAAGCTATTGTCACTACTCTTTCTAAATATCCATGTTTGTTATAGTGGCACACCTTGTTTTGTATGACTATAGTTAATGATCAACTTGCTATTTGTGTAACAAAAGATAAATGAAGTTAAATCATATTTAGATGATTTAATAGATGATTATATATTTTTAAATTATTAATGCAAACATAATACCAGGAAAATGTAAATAATTAATGATGTACTTATAAATAATTTCTATTAGTGAAATAGATTAAGAAAATGATTTGTCCTTACTAGTGGGCTCATAAATATTTAATAGTAACTACCACTGACATCTTTTAGATTCACCTCAAAACTAACATTTAAGCTTCTTTTTATAATATGGAATGCATTTTTCAGTAGAACATAAAGTTAGCAAAGTATACTTATGTATAAGATTTACTCCATGTCACTTAACATTTTCAAATAGTTAGAATGTAAACTATGTTCCATTGTGGGTTTCATATTCATAGAGATCATTTTTTCTTTTAAAAATTACAACTAGATGTTAAAATGTGTTCATTTAAACATAATTTTATAGTGCTAATCCATAGCATGCTTAACTTTTATGTTCTAATTTTATATATTGCTGTGTTAAAGGAAAAAATAAATATGTTTTAAAAACCTCTTCATACAGTTGCTTTTTCTTTTTTATTTATTATACTTTAAGTTCTAGGGTACATGTGTACAACGTGCAGGTTTGTTACATATGTATACATGTGCCAAGTTGGTGTGTTGCACCCATTAACTCATCTATATACTTCAATAAGACCCAAAACAAGTCCAGCTATGGGGAGAGTACATTTAGGTGTGTTACCTCCCATTCACCCACCCTTATGGCAAGCAAGAGATTTGCTGGGAATGTTATGTAACAGTTACTTGCAACGGAAGAGCTGGCAATCATATAGGCAGATTCTCCAGAACAGTGATAGGTTGAACCAGATATCCCTTATGAATGACAAAGTGCATCCTCTTAAGCCCACTGCCATCCTTGCTTCTCCTTGACCTGGGAAGTCTATACCGCCATGTTGGAGCACATATGCCTCCCATTTGATACAACAGTTTTTTCATCTTCACCTTTTAAAGATACCCTATATGTTTTAACTGGATCTATTCCTATTTTCTTACTAGTTACATTAACTTTGTGATGACATCATAGGATGAATCTATATAAATAGGGAACATTTGTTATATGTATATATATTACTTTTTAAATATCTATTTAAATAAATTTTATCATAAGCATATATAAAATATTGAGATATTGATAAACTCTCCCATATTTCTTTTTCAATTCTCTCTTCAATAACTACCCCTACTTTGTAATGATGTAATATTTTCTGACATTTGCAAAGTCCAATCAGCCTTAAAGACCTAATGGTGATTCTCTTTTAGCTATCTTGGAGTTCTCTGCTACAATCCATGATTTGCTAATCTCTGTCCCAATTCATGATTTCTTCATTTCTGTTTAGATACATTGTAAGTCGAATTAATAATTTACTCTGACAGGGTGCTTACTGCTGGCAATCTTTATTCCAAGGTTGTTGTTTTTGTTTTTTTGAGGGGGTTGAGGAGTCAATACTCTCTCTTCCTATGAAAAACTAAAAAATGATCTAGCCTATTATTGGGAAATCTGTTTGTTCTTTACTGTACTACATTAATACCCAGAAGCCTTTGTAGTTGTTGTATTATTTATGCCTTTATTTTTATAATACCTTTCATAATCTTACCTTTATTACATAATTAGGTAGGGATTCATCTATCCCCTGGGTGATAGAGGGAGGCTAGGAGTTCAGTGAAGGCAGAACCTTTGTTATATACAAATTAGTATGCCTTCTTTGTAGCAAAGTTAAGCATTTCATAGGATTTGTGAGACAATAAAAAAGAAGAGGGGCTGATTCAGATATAAGGCAAACTAAAATTAGATACAATAAGTCACAATTCACAATGAAGATATGATAGTTATGAATTTCAGTAGCCATTAGGAAGCAAAATTACAGGCGTTGATGGGAGGCAGTAGAAACACACTAACAGTAGAGGAATAGGAGACTTTCATATACCATGCTCAGTCCAAGACAGATAAAGTGAACAGGAAGAGATATAACAGCAAGAATAAGAGGTAGCACCTAAACAGTATAATCATAAAGGTAGATTTCTTTTTGATTTCCAACTTTTATTTTAAGTTCAGGGTACATGGGTAGGATGTGCAGGTTTGTTACATAGGTAAACGTGTGCCATGGTGGTTTGCTGCACAGATCATCCCATCATCCAGCATCCCACTAGCTATTCTTTCTGATACTCTCCCTCCTCCCACCCCCAAACCTCCTACAGGCCCTAGTGTGTGTTGTTCCCCTTGAAGTGTCCATGTGTTCTCATTATTCAGTTCCCACTTATAAGTGAGAAAATGCGGTATTTGGTGTTCTGTTCCTGTATTCATTTGTGGAGGATAAAGGCTTCCAACTACATCCATGTCCCTGCAAAGGACATGATCTTGTTCCTTTTTATGGCTGTATAGTATTCCATGGTGTGTGTGTATGTGTATATATATATATGTACACATATATATACGTATATGTGTACATATATATATATATATATACACACACATATATATACGTATATGTGTACATATATATATATATATATTACATTGTCTTATCCAGTTTATCATTGATGGGCATTTAGGTAGACTCCATGTCTTTGCTACTGTAAATAGTGCTGTAATGAACATATGCATGCAAGCGTCTTTATAATAGAATGATTTACATTCCATTGGGTAATCAGATTGCTGAGCCAAATAGCATTTCTGCCTCTGGGTCTTTGAGGAATTGCCACACTGTCTCCCATAATGGTTGAACTAATTTTACACTGTTGGTGGGAGTATAAAGTGTTCCTTTTTCTCCAAAACGCTGCTAGCATCTGCTGTTTTTTTATTCCTAATAAGAGACATTCTGACTGGTGTGAGATAGTATCTCACTGTGGTTTTGATTTGCATTTCTCTAAAGATCAGTGATGTTGAGCTTTCTTTCATGTTTTTTGGCCACATGTATATCTTCTTTTGATAAGTGTCTGTTCATGTCTTTTGCCCACTTTTAATGGGGTTGTTTTTCTCTTGTAAATTTAAGTTCCTTGTAGATGCTGGGTATTAGATCTCTGTCGGGTGGATAGATTGCAAAATTATCTCCTATACTGTAGGTTGTCTGTTTACTTCTGATGATAGTTTCTTTTGCTGTGCAGAAGCTCTTTAGTTTAATCAGATCCCATTTGGTCAATATTTACTTTTATTTCAATTACTTTTGATGTTTTTTGTCATAAAATCTTTGCCCATGCCTATGTCTTAAATAGTATTGCCTATATTTTCTTCTAGGGTTTTTATAGCTTTGGATTTTACATAATTTAAGTCTTCAATCCATCTTGAGTTGATTTTTGTAATATGGTGTAAGGAAGGGGTCTAGTTTCAATTTGCTGGATATGGCTTACCAGTTCTCCTAGCACCATTTATTAAATAGGGTATCATTTCCCCATTGCTTTCATCAGGTTTGTCAAAGATCAGATGATTGTAGGTGTGTGCTCTTATTTCTGAGTTCTCTATTCTGTTCCATTGGTCTAAGTGAATGTTCTTATACAAGAACCATGCTTCTTTGGTTACTCTAGCTTTGTAGTAAAGTTTAAAGTCAGGTAGCATGATGCCTCCAGCTTTGTTTATTTTGCTTAGGATGGTCTTGGCTATTCAGGCTGTTTTTTGGGGTCCATATCAGTATTAAAATACTGTTTCCAATCCTGTGAAGAATGTCAATGGTAGTTTGATGGGAATAGCATTGAATCTATCAATTACTTTAGGCAGTATGGCCATTTTCATGGTATTGATTCTTCCTATCCATGAGAATGGAACGTTTTTCTATCTGTGTCATCTAATTTCTTTGCCAGTGCTTTGTAGTTCTCCTTGAAGAGGTCCTCCACTTTCCTTGTTAGCTGTATTCCTAGGTATTTTATTCTTTTTGTGGTAATTTTGAATGAGAGTTCATTCATGATTTGGCTCTCAGCTTGCCTGTCATTGGTGTACAGCAATGCTTGTGATTTTTGCACATTTATTTTGTATTCTGAGAATTTGCTGAAGTTGCATATCAACTTAAGAAGCTTTTAAGGCTGAGATGATGGGACTTTCTAGGTATAAGATCATGTCATCTGCAAACAAAGATTGTCTGACTTCCCCTCTTCCTATTTGAATACATTTATTTCTTTCTCTGCCTGATTGCCCTGGCCAGAACTTCCAATATCATGCCGAGTAAGAGTGGTGAGAGGGCATCCATGTCTTGTGCTGGTTTTCAAAGGGAATGCTTTCAGCTTTTGCCCATTCAGTATGATATTGTCTGTGGGTTTGCCACATATGGCTCTTATTGAGTCATGTTCCTTCAACACCTAGTTTGAGAGTTTTTAACATGAAGGGATGTGGAAATTGAATAACCTGCTCCTGAATGACTCTTGGGTAAATAATGAAATTAAGGTAGAAACCAAGACGTTCTTTGAAATGATTAAGAAAAAAGATACAATGTATCTTTAGAACACAGCTAAAGTTGTGTTAAGAGGGAAATTTATAGCACCATATGCCCACATCGAAAAGGTAGAAAGTTCTCAAGTTAACCACCTAACATCATGACTAAATGAACTAGAGAACCAAGAACAAACAAACCCCAAAGCTAGCAGAAGACAAGAAATAACCAAGATCAGAGCTGAGCTGAACTGAAAGAGATAGAGACATGAAAAACCCTTCAGAGGAAAAAAAAAAAAAAAAAAAAAAATCAATGAATCCAGAAACTGGTTTTTTGAAATAATTAATAAAATAGAACATTAGACTAATGAAGAAAAGAGAGAAGATTCAAATGAACAATCAGAATTGATAAGGGGATTATCACCACTGACTCCACAGAAATAAAAACAATCATCAGAGAATACTATATATACCTCTAGGCACATAAACTAGAAAATCTAGAAGAAATGGGTACATTCCTGGACAAATACACCTTCCTAAGACTCTACCAGGAAGAAACTGAATCCCTGAAGACCAATAATGAATTCTGAAATCGAGGCAGTAATAAATAACGTCTGAACCAAAAAAAAGCCCAGAACCAGACCTATTCAAAGCTGAATTTTACCAGAGGTACAAAGAAGAGCTGGTACCATTTTCACTAAAACTATTCCAAAATTTGAAAGGAGGGACTCCTCCCTTATGCAATGAGGCTAGCATCATCCTGATACCAAAACCTGGCAGGGATACAACAAAAAAGAAAACTTTAAGCCAATATCCTTGATGAACATTAATGTAAAAATCCTCAACAAAACACTGGCAAACTGAATATAGCAGTGCATTAAAAAGCTCATCCACCACGATCCAGCAGGCTTCATCTCCGGGATGCAAGGTTGGTTCAACATATACAAATCAATAAATGTGATTTATCACATAAACAGAACTAAAGACAAAAACCACATGATTATCTCAATAGATGCAGAAAAGGCCTTTGATAAAATTCAACACAACTTCATGCTAAAAGAAACACTCCATAAACTAGGTATTGATGGAACATATCTCAAAATAGTAAGAGCTATTATGACAAACCCACAGCAAATATCATACTGATATTGTAGGTGTGTGGTCTTATTTCTGAGTTCTCTATTCTGTTCCATTGGCCTAAAAAAACAAAACTAAAGACAAAACCCACATGATTATTTCAATAGATGCAGAAAAGGCTTTCAGTAAAATTCAACATCCATTCATGTTAAAAACTCTCAATAAGATAGATCTTATGAATAGATTTTGAAATTTACATTTTTCAAATAGAGAATATACCTTCTCAAGTACCGATTTTATTATGTACTTGTTTTTACTTGTTTAAGTAAAAACACATTACAAAGTTATTGTGAAACTTTCACAATAACTCATCATATATTAGGTGACACTAAAAATATCTCTAATTTCAAGGTAGAAACATTAAAAACAACTCTGATCATAATGCAATACAACTAGACATTGACAAAAACAAAAACTTTTAAATTGAAACTTAATATAAAACACTTATTACATGACTTGGCTAAAAAGGGAAAAACACTGAGATTATAGACTTTCTAAAAATATAAACACTATATATTAGAATCTATGGGTTCATTTAAAGCAATCAACAAAAAAATTCTTAGCACTACAACAGTTATCAGGATAAATAAAATATCTGGCTCAAAAGATGTCAACACAAGATGGCCAAATATGAATAGCTCCAGTCTGCAGCTCCTAGTGAGACCAATGAAGAAGGCAGGTGATTTCCACATTTTCAACTAAAGTACCTGGTTCATCTCATTGGGACTGGCTAGACAGTGGAGGCAGCCCATGGAGGGTGAGCAGAAGCAGGGTAGGCTGTTGCCTCACCTGGGAAGCAGAAGGTGTCAGGGAATTCCCTACCCTAGCCAAGAGAAGCTGTGATGGACTGTGCCATGAGGGACAGTACTATCCGACCCAGACACTATGCTTTTCCCAAGGTCTTTGCAACCCACAGACCAGGAGATTCCCTTGGGTGCCTACACCACCAGGGCCGTGGGTTTCAAGTACAAACTGGGCGGCCATTTGGGCAGACACCAAGCTAGCTGCAGGAGTTATTTTTCATACCCCAGTGGCACCTGGAACACCAGCATGACAAAATCGTTCACTCCACTGGAAAGGGGGCTGAAGTCAGCGAGCCAAGCGGTCTTGCTCAGCAGATCCCACCCCCACCATGGAGCCCAATAAGCTCAGATCCACTGGCTTGAAATTCTTGCGGCCAGCACAGCAGTCTGAAGTCGACCTGGGATGCTAAAGCTTGGTGGGGACAGGGTCGTCCACCATTACTGAGGCATGAGTAGGCGGTTTTCCCCTCACAGGGTAAACAAAGCCACTAGGAAGTTTGGACTGGGCAGAGCCCACCGCAGCAGTGCAAAGCCACTGTAGCAGAATGCCTCTCCAGATTCCTCCTCTCTGGGCAGGGCATCTGTGAAAGAAAGGCAGCAGCCTCGGTCACGGGCTTATAGATAAAACTCCCATCTCCCTGGGACAGAGCACCTGGGGGAAGGGGTGGCTGTGGGTGCAGCTTCAGCGACTTTTAAACATTTCTGCCTGCTGGCTCTGAAGAAAGCTGTGGATCTCCCAGCACAGCGCTCCAGGTCTGCTAAGGGAGAGACTGCCTCAAGTGGGTCTCTGACCCCCGTGCCTCCTGACTGGGAGACACCTTGCAGCAGGGGTCAACAGATACCTCTTATGGGAGAGTTCCGGCTGGCATCTGGTGGGTGTCCCTCTGGGACGAAGCTTCCAGAGGAAGGAGCAGGCAGCAATATTCGCTGTTCTACAGCTTCCACTGGTGATACTCAGGCAAACAGGGTCTGGAGTGGAGCTCCAGCAAACTCCAGCAGACCTGGAGAAGCGGGTCCTGACTGCTAGGAGGAAAACTAACAAACAGAAAGCAACAGCATCAACATCAGCAAAAAGGACCGCCACGCAAAAACCGCATCCAAAGATCACCAACATCAAAGACCACAGGTAGAAAAATCCACGAAGATGAGGAAAAACCAGCGCAAAAAGGCTGGAAATTCCAAAAACCAGAATGCCTCTTCTCCTCCAAAGGATCACAATTCCTCGCCAGCAAGGGAACAAAACTGGATGGAGAATGAGTTTGATGAATTGACAGAAATAGGCTTCAGAAGGTGGGTAATGACAAACTCCTCCAAGTAAAAGGAGCATGTTCTAACCAAATGCAAGGAAGCTAAGAACTTTGATAAAAGATTACAGCAACTTGTAACTAGAATAACCAGTTTACAGAAGAACATAAATGACCTGATGGAGCTGAAAAACACAGCATGAGAACTTCGTGAAGCATACACAACTATCCATGACCAAATTGATCAAGTGGAAGAAAGGTTATCAGAGATTGAAGATCAATTTAATGAAATAAGGCATGAAGACAAGATTAGAGAAAAAAGAATGAAAAGGAATGAGCGAAACCTCCAAGAAATATAGGACTATGTGAAAAGACCAAACCTACATTTAAGATTGGTGTACCTGAAAGTAATGGGGAGAATGGAACCAAGTTGGAAAACACACTTCGGGATACCATCCAGGAGAACTTCCCCAACCTAGCAAGACAGGCCAACATGCAAATTCAGGAAATACAGAGACCACCACCATGATACTCCTCAATAAGAGCAACCCCAAGACACATAATCATCAGATTCACCAAGGTTGAAACGAAGGAAAAAATGTTCAAGGGCAGCCAGAGGGAAAGTTCAGGTTACCCACAAAGGGAAGCCCATCAGACTAACAGCATATCTCTCTGCAGAAACCCTACAAGCCAGAAGAGAATGGGGGCCAATATTCAACATTCTTAAAGAAAAATGATTTTCAATGCAGAATTTCATGTCTAGTCAAATTAATGTCTATAAAAGTGAAGGAGAAATAAAATCCTTTACAGACAAGCAAATGCTCAGGGATTTTGTCACCACCAGGCCTGCATTATAAGAGCTCCCGAAGGAAGCACTAAATATGGAAAGGAAAAACCAGTACTAGCCATTGCAAAAACATACCCAAATGTAAAGGCCATTGACACTATGAAGAAACTGCATCAACTAATGAGCAAACTAACCAGCTAGCATCATAACAGGATCAAATTCACACATAACAATATTAACCTTAAAGGTAAATGGGCAAAATGCCCCAATTAAAAACACAGACTGGTAAATTGGATAAAGAGTCAAGACCCATTGGTGTGTTCTATTCAGGAAACCCATCTCACATGCAAAGACACACATAGGCTCAAAATAAATGGGTGGAGGAAGATTTGCCAAGAAAATGGAAAGCCAAAAAAAAAAAAAAAAAAAAGGGAGGGTTTGCAGTCCTAGTCTCTGATAAAACAGACTTTAAATCAAAAAAGATCAAAAAACACAAAGAAGGGCATCACATAATAGTAAAGGGATCGATGCAATAAGAAGAGATAACTATCCTAAATATATACACACCTAGTACAGGAGCAGCCAGCTTCATAAAGCAAGTTCTCAGAGACCTACAAAGAGACTTAGACTCCCACACAATAATAGTGGGAGACTTTAACACCCCACTGTCAATATAAGCCAGATCATTGAGACAGAAAGTTAAGAAGGATATTCAGGACTTGAAGTCAGCTGGACAAAGTGGACCTAATAGACATCTACAGAACCCTCCACACCAAATCAACAGGATATACATTCTTCTCAGCACCACACTGCACTTATTCTAAAATTGACCACATAATTGGAAGTAAAACACTCCTCTGCAAATGCGAAAGTATTGAAATCATAACAAACAATCTCTCAGACCACAGTGCAATCAAATTAGAACTCAGGATTAAGAAACTCCCTCAAAACTGCACAACTACATGGAAACTGAACAACCTGCTCCTGAATGACTACTGGGTAAATAATGAAATTAAGGCAGAAATAAATAAGTTCTTTGAAACCAATGAGAACAAAGACACAATGTACCAGAATCTCTGGGACAAAGCTAAAGCAGTGTCTAGAGGGAAATTTACAGCACTAAATGCCCATATCAGAAAGTGGGAAAGATCTAAAGTTGATACCCTAACATCACAATTAGAAGAACTAGAGAAGCAAGAGCAAACAAATTCAAAAGCCAGCAGGAGACAAGAATTAACTAAGATCAGAGCAAAACTGAAGGAGAGAGACACAAAAGAACCCTTCAAAAACCTCAGTGAAACTAGGAGCTGGTTTTCTGAAAAGATTAACAAAATAGACTGCTAGCTAGACTAATAAAGAAGAAAAGAGAGAACAACCAAATAGACACAATAAAAAATGATAAATGGGGAGATCACTGATCACACAGAAATACAAACTACCATCAGAAAATACTATAAACACCTCTATGCAAATAAACTGGAAAATCTAGAAGAAAAGGATAAGTCCTGGACATATATACCCTCCCAAGCCTAAACCAGGAAGAAGTTGAATCCCTGAATAGACCAATAATAAGTTCTGAAATTGAGGCAATAATTAATAGGCTAACAACCAAAAAAAGCCCAGGACCAGACAGATTCACAGCTGAATTCTACCAGAGGTACAAAGAGGAGCTGGTACCATTCCTTCTAAAACTATTCCAAATGACAGAAAAAGAGGGACTCCTCCCTAACTCATTTTAGGAGGCCAGCATCATCCTGATACCAAAACCTGGCAGACACAACAAAAAAAGAAAATTTCAGGCCACCATCCCTGATGAATATTGATACAAAAATCCTCGATAAAATACTGGCAAACCAAATCCAGCAGCACATCAAAAAGCTTATCCACCACAATCAAGCTGGCAAGGCTGGTTCAACATGTGCAAATCAATAAATGTAACCCATCACATAAACAGAACCAATGACTAAAACCACATGGCTATCTCAATAGATGCAGAAAAGGCCTTTGATAAAATTCAACATCCTTTCATGCTAAAAAACACTCCATAAACTAGGTATTGATGGAACATATCTCTAAATAATAAGAGCTATTTATGACAAACCCACAGTCAATATCATATTGAATGGGTAAACGCTGAAAGCATTCCCTTTTAAAACCGGCACAAGACAAGGATGACCTCTCTCACCACTTCTATTCAACATAGTATTGGAAGTTCTGGCCAGGGCAATCAGGCAAGAAAAAGAAATAAATGGTACTCAAATAGGAAGAAAGGAAGTCAAATTATCTCTGTTTCCAGATGACATGATTGTATATTTAGAAAACCCCATCATTTCAGCCCCAAAACTCCTTAAGCTGATAAGCAACTTCAGCAATGTCTCAGGATACAAAATCAGTGTGCAAAAATCACAAGCATTCTTATACACCAATAGACAAACAGAGCCAAATCATGAGTGAACTCCCATTCACAACTGCTACAAAGAGAATAAAATACCTAGGAATACAACTTATAAGGGATGTGATGGACCTCTTCAAGGAGAACTACAAACCATTGCTCAAGGAAATAAAAGAGGACACAAACAAGTAGCAAAATATTCCATGCTCATGGATAGGAAGAATCAATACCATGAAACTGGCCATACTGCCCAAAGTAATTTACAGGTTCAATGCTATTCCCATCAAGCTACCACTGACTTTCTTCACAGCATTAGGAAAAACTACTTTAAATTTCATACAGAACCAAAAAAGAGCCCGTATAGCCAAGACAATCCTAAGCAAAAAGAACAAAGATGGAGGCGTCATGCTACCTGACTTCGAACAATACTACAAGGCTACAGTAACCAAAAGAGCATGGTACTGGTACCAAAACAGAGATATAGACCAATGGAACAGAACAGAGCCCTCAGAAATAACATCACATATCTACAACCATCTGATCTTTGACAAACTTGAAAAAAACAAGCAATGGGGTAAGGATTCCCTATTTAATAAATGGTGTTAGGAAAACTGGCTAGCCATATGCAGAAAACTGAAACTGGACCCCTTCCTTACACCTTATACAAAAATTAAGATAGATTAAATATTTCAACATAAGACCTAATGCCATAAAAACCCTAGAAGAAAACCTAGGCAATACCATTCAGGACATAGGCATGCGCAAAGACTTCATGACTAAAACACCAACAGCAATGTCAACAAAAGACAAAATTGACAAATGGCATCTAATTAAGCTAAAGAGCTTCTGCACAGCAAAAGAAACTATCAGAGTAAACAGGCAACCTACAGAATAGGAGAAAATTTTTGCAACCTATCCATCAGACAAAGGGCTAATACCCAGAATCCACAAGGAATTTAAACACATTTACAAGAAAAAAACAACCCCATCAAAAAGTGGGTGGGTGAAGGATATGAACAGACACTTTTTAAAATAAGACATTTATGCGGCCAACAAACATGAAGAAAAGCTCATCATCACTGATCATTAGAGAAATGCAAATCAAAACCACAATGAGACACCAGCTCACACCAGTTAGAATGGTGATCACTAAAAAGTCAGGAAACAACAGATGCTGGAGAAGATGTGGAGAAATAGGAATGCTTTTACACTGTGGTGAGAGTGTAAATTAGTTCAACCATTGTGAAAAACTGTGGTGATTCCTCAAGGATCCAGAACCAGAAATACCATTTGACCCAGCAATCCCATTACTGGGCATATACTCAAAGGATTATAAATCATTCTGCTATATAGACACATGCACACGCATGTTTATTGCAGCACTATTCACCATAGCAAAGACTTGGAACCCACCCAAATGCCCATCAATGATAGACTGGATAAAGAAAATGTGGCACATATATACCATGAAATACTATGCAGCCATAAAAGAGGATGAGTTCAAGTCCTTTGCAGGGACATGGATGAAGCTGGAAACCATCATTCTCAGAAAGCTAACACATGAACAGAAAACCAAACACCTCATGCTCTCACTTATAAGTGGTATTGAACAATGAGAACGTATGGGCACAGCGAGGGGAACATCACACACTGGGAGCCTGTTGGGGGTGGGGCCAAGGGGAGGGAGTGCATTAGGAGAAATACCTAATGTAGATGACGGATTGATGGGTGCAGCAAACCACCATGGCACATGGATACCTGTGTGACAAATCTGCACATTCTGCACTATGTATCCCAGAATTTAAAGTATAATAAAAAAAAAACTTAAAAAGGAAAGTCATTGTCCTCTCCTACCCCAGATCTTTAAATACAGAAATGTAGATGATGGTGTAAAATCTTTACTAAAAAATATCGTTCTCTTATGTGGAGTAATTTCAACAGAGAGATGTTTTCTAACATGTTTTACTGTGTATGCTGTGTATTCATACTGAGGTATGTTTTCTAACGTTTTACTGTGTATGCTGTGTATTCATACTGAGGTATGTTTAGTTTTATCTGAACAATTTCTATGGGAAAATCATCTGATTAAAAAGTTACAGATGATATGAATTAAAACAAAACAAAACTAAAAAGATGTCAACAACTAAAGAACAGCAAAGTAAGTAAGCCAAAGGAAAGTATACGGACGTAACAAAGATAAGAGCCATGATTAATGAGAAAATAGAAAAACAGTAACTTAATAAATCTAAAGTCTATCTTTCCAGAAAAAAATTAACAAACATCTAACCTGATCAAGAAGAAAGGGAGAAATTACATATTGAGAAAATAAGAGGCAAAATAGTCATTGAAAAAGAGTAACATTATAAAACCATCAAAGACTTCTCTGCAGACAGTTCATCAAAAAATAAAGAATAAAAACCTTGATGAAATTCCCAAGTAAAAACACACTACAAAACATAATCCTATTAGAAATAGCAAGCTTAAAGAGGCCCATGTCCATAGAAAAAGAGTAGAAAAGATTATTAAGGAACTGCACCATAAAAAAAAGAAAGAAAGAAAAGGAAAATAAAAATCAAGATGCTTTCTCAGAGGACTTCTACCAACCCTATGTGTACTAAGAAAGATCCAGTGCTTTGTTGTTCCAGAGGAAAAAAAAAAAAAAGGATAACTTCCTAATTCTTTATAAAGCTAATATAACATTAATATCTCAATTTTATAAAAACAGTGCCAAAAAAGAAAGCAATAAATATTGCTATGGATAGCAATGCACATATAGTAAACAAAATAGTAAGCAGACTTTACACTACATTAAGAAATACACCATGACAAAGTGGGATTTACCCTAGAACTGTAAGATTGGTTCAATACTATGAAATCCATTGATATTATGTCATATAAATTAATATATTTTAAGACATAATTCCATGGATACTGAAAAGCTATTGAAAGAACATATATATTTCTGATTTTTAAAAAACTCAAAAACATAGAAATTGAATGATACATCCTATATACGTGATCATGTTCATCTTCAGCCACAAATCAAGTATTTTACTTAAATACTTAAACACTTAAATGCTTACTTAATATGAAAACACTAAGATGTTTCCTAAGATCAGGAAAGAGGCAAAAATGCCAACTACCCCCATTACTACTCAAAATGGCTTTATGAGTATTAGCCATTTTTATTGGATGACAGATATCAAATTGAGCTATAAAATTGATAAGAAAAAATCTCAAACATTTGATTTTATACTTGGAAAAGCTAAATCAATCAATGATAAAATTAATTCAATCAAACATTCATGATGAGAGCAGAATACAAAATTACACACAGAAAAATAATGTTTTCACAAACAAAGGAGTAGATACTAAGGAATGAATTTAACAAGAAATGTGCAAAATCTATTGAAGGAGAACTTTAATATATTCCTGAAAGACAAAGTAGACCTGAAAAATGGGAAGGCATTCCATATTCCGAGATGGAATGGTTTAACATTAAAAGAATGACTTTTGTCCGGGTGTGGTGGCTCGTGCCTGTAATCCCAGCACTTTGGGAGGCCGAGGCGGGCAGATCATGAGGTCAGGAGATCAAGACCATCCTGGCTAACACAGTGAAACCCTGTCTCTGCTAAAAAAACAAAAAAAAAATACAAAAAATTAGCCAGGTGTGGTGGCGGGCGCCTGTAGTCCCAGCTACTCGGGAGGCTGAGGCAGGAGAATGGTGTGAACCCAGGAGGCAGAGCTTGCAGTGAGCCGAGATCGCACCACTGCACTCCAGCCTGGGCAACAGAGTGAGACTCCATCTCAAAAAATAATAATAATAATAATAAAAATAAAAGAATGAGTTTTTCTGTAGTTTAATTGGTATACTTTAAGAAATTCCAATAAAAATCCCAAAACACATTTTCTAGAGTTATATAGAGTTGATATGGAAAAAGCAAACAAAAACAAATAGAAAAGACTAAAAAAGAAAACTACATGGGGTGACTAACAGTTTTCAAAACAGACTATGAATCCTCTATAATTAAAACAATATTGTTAGTGGTATTTGAACAGACAAACAAGAATAAAAAAATTACATATAGGTCCCGACTACATGTATTATTTGATACTTTTATTTTTATTTGCTTTATTTTATATATATACATAAGACAGAGTCTTGCTCTCTTGCCAGACTGCAGTGTAGTAGCGCAATCTTGGCTCACTGCAACCTCTGCCTCCCGGGTTCAAGTGATTCTCCTGCCTCAGCCTCCCAAGTAACTGGGACTACAGGTGCGTGCAACAACACCCAGCTAATTTTTGTATTTTTAGTAGAGACATGGTTTCACCATGTTGGCCAGGATGGTCTCAAACTCTTCACCTCGTGATCCACCCGCCCCGGCCTCCCAAAGTGCTGGGATTACAGGCATGAGCTACAGAGTCTGGCTGATACTTTTAATATCTAATAACGATGACATCTCATTTTAGTAGGAAAGAGATGAAGTTTTTAATAAATATTAATGGGACAACTGGGCATTTTTACAAAAACATACAATCTACAAAGAAAACCAATCTACGAACAAAAACTTTATAATTTGCAAAAACATACAATTATGCTCATACTGCACACCATATACAAGAATCAAAGCCAAATGAACAATGGATCTAAATGTAAAAAACAAAAGTAAACCCTAAGAGTACTAGAAGAAGAAATTATGGATGAATTCCCCTTTAAC
Organism: Homo sapiens; assembly: GCF_000001405.40. NCBI lineage: Eukaryota > Metazoa > Chordata > Mammalia > Primates > Hominidae > Homo > Homo sapiens. The sequence continues at coordinate 165,684,539 of NC_000005.10, read as the reverse complement.
ATCAATGTAGAAATGTCTTCTAATTATGACCCAAAAGTCCAGAGGCAATGAAAAGAAAGATTGATAAAATTTGACTACATAAATGTTTTGCCTTACATAAAACATCATGAATAAATATAAAAGACAACTGAAGATATGGGAGAACATTTTGTCACGCATATTCCAGAAAAAAAGGTTTATATCCCTAACATATAATTTTTAAAACTTGAGGTAAAGACCATCAAAACCCAACAAAAAATGAGAAAAAAATATGAACAGACAATTGATAAAAAAGTTTAAAAAAATGGCCCTTAGGCTTATGAAAATATGTTCAAACTCACTGATAGAGAAATACAAATTAACATTGAGATATGATTTATTAACTCTCAGACTGGCAATTTCTTTTATAACATGAAAATACTTTCTGTGGGATTACTGGAGAATCAGACATTTTCATACACTGCTAGAGAATATGGCAATACCTAATATAACTGCATATGTACTTACTTTTTGACTCGGCAATTTTACTTTTAGAAACTTACCCTTATGATACATTCTCAATAACACAAAAATGTATTTGCACAAGGTTATTTATTGCAGCATTGTTTGTAATTTCAAAAATACAGAACTCTTCCAGGTGACTATACATGGTAGACTGGTTAATAATAGATGGTACGTTTAAAAAAATGGAGTACGATAGACCAATACAAAACTGAAAAAAGACCTCAGTGGACTGAAACAGAATGATTTACAAGACACGTTTAAAGTAATAAAAGACGGAAAAACAAAAAATATTTATAGAGTAGTAGCTTTTGGCTAGGCCCTGTGGCTCACACCTGTAATCCCAGCACTTTGGGAGGCTGAGGCAGGCAGATCACGAGGTCAGGAGATCGAGACTACCCTGGCCGACACAGTGAAACCCCGTTTCTACTAAAAATACAAAAAATTAACCAGGCGTGGTGGCGGGCGCCTATAGTCTCAGCTACTCGGGAGGCTGAGGTAGGAGAATTGCTTGAACCCCGGAGTTAGAGGTTGCAGTGAACAGAGATCGCACCACTGCACTCCAGCCTGGGTGACACAGCAAGACTCCATCTTAAAAAAAAAAAAAAAAAAAAAGGTGCTTTTGAATTTGATAGAGATAAAATATATATGCACCTGATTATTATAATGTGCAAAAAAATCTACTTAGGAAGGTTAAACCAAAACCTAATAGAACTAAATAAAAAACTAAAGAGGGTGGAAATGGAGGGTAAAATGAAAGAATGGCAATGAAGTAGAAAGGATAAGAGAGGAGAGACACTTCCCTGAATTTACGTTTTTAGTTAATTCTGATGTTTAGCCTCATGGTGGTATTTTACATACTCAAATAATACATAAAAATGAAAATCAACCAGAATGTGAGGAGACTCAAAATTGAAGACAAAAAATAAAAAATAAGACTACCTATTGCAAATAAAAAACCACACACAAAAAAAGTGCAATAACCACACTTATAGGGGAGGGTAGAGAAACAAACCTAAGTAACTTGGGAAAACAATATGTCGAGCCTATGTACCTAGTATAAATACAAAAAGAATGATACACAAATATTATATTCAATTTAGTATATCTGTTTGCCATAGAAATCTCGGTTAGCAATTATCAAGTTGCTCCAGCAATTCTGAAATTACTTTATGGAAATTAACCCAACAAAATAAAAGTATATGGTTGCAGGAAGATTGAGAGAAGACAGTGGAATAGGAAGCACCAGAAATCTGTATCCCCACCTAGAGAACAATTAAATTGTCACAATCTGCCTGATAAAACTATTTTGCAACTCTGGAGTCTATTGCAGACTTGCAATTCCTAGGAAAAATCTTAGCTAGTAAACGGCAGTAAGTTTAATCAACTTTAACTATTAGCAGCTGCTACCAATCTCTACCCCTTAGCCCAGCATTAAGTAGCATGTGCATATTCCTGGCCCAGCTTGCATTCAGCTTGCTGGAGCCAGGGTGGGCAATAAAGCATCTGTCCCCAAAACATTGTGGATTGTTCCCCAAAACATTGTGGATCTGTGTTCTGACTGTCGAGTACTGCTTCTGATCATGGAGGTCCTGACGCAGAGATGGGTAGCCATTGTTGTACCTCCCACATTCCCTTTCCACAAATCCCTCCTCTTCTGGCCATGCAACTTCCGACTTAATGTGTCTGCGCTCTTTCCCCTCCCCCCTCATTTTTCTTTTTTTACCATTTTTGGAGTCTAGAACATTCAAAACAACTGCATATACAGCAGAAATAAGGAAGTCACTGTGCATGCCTGGGGAAGGGGAAAGGCACAACCTCAAAAGATCCTGAAAGATCTTAAGTTTACACCTCATATGATCTTCACTATGGGGACAGACTACAACATCATACAAACAAAAATTAAAAAAAAAACAAAAAACAGCAAACCTTGGGAAAGGATAATTTGATTTTCAGAATATCACATTATTGATCCACATGTCAATTTTTTGACAAGGCATTTTCAACAAGGCATTTTTCATAAGGCATACAAAGAAATAGAGAAGTATAGATCATTAAAAGAGAAAGGTAAATGAACAGAAACTGTTTCTAAAAAAGATTTCATGGTAGATCTACTAGATAAAGACTTTAAAACAACTATTTTAATGGTACTCAAGGAACCGAAATATCAATAAAGAGACAGAAAATCTTAGAAACCAAAAAGTAATTATAGGGCTGAAAACTACAATAACTGAAGTAAAAAAAAAAATTCACTAAAGAAACTCAAAGACATATTTGAACAGGAAGAAGAGTCAGTGAACTTGAAGATAGGACTATAAGAAATTACCATATTCAAGAAACAGGAAGAGAAAAAAACTGAAGAAAAGTGAGCAGAGTGTTAGAAACCTATGGGTATATCATCAAGTGATCAACTATGTATTGGGGAAATCCAAGGGGTAAAAGGAAAGGGAAAGAGACAGAATATCTGAAGAAATAAGGCTAAAAACTTTTTAAATTTGATGAAAGATATAGAAACAACTAAGAAGCTCAACAAACTCCAAGCAGGATGAATTCAGAGACTCACACTGAATGACAAAGACAAAGAGAATTTTGAATGTAGAAAGAGATAAGATATTTCTGACATACAAGAGGTCTTCAATGAGATTATCAACAGAGTTCTCATCAGAACTTTGGACATCAGAAGGCAATGGGGTGATATATTTATACTCAAAATGCTAAAAGAAAAAAAAATTTTTTTTTTTTTTTTTTTTAAAGTAGAGACGGGGTTTCACCATGTTGGCCAGGATGGTCTCAATCTCCTGACCTCATGCTCCACCCGCCTCGGCCTCCCAAAGTTCTGGGATTTACAGGCCGTAGCCATCTTGCCTGGCCATAAAATTTAGTATTACTGTAACAATGGTATGCAATTCCACTTCTAGCTTTCTACATGATTAAAGAGACTAATAAAACTTTAAGAGTAAAACAACCATTAGTCTAAAAGTTAGTATTATTATAACGTTGATTTGTAACTCCACATTTTGTTTCATGTAAAATTTAAGCAACTGATGCATTAAAAATATCAACTGATGTTTTTGGGCACACAATTTATAACAACATAATTTTGTGACAACAACTAAAAGGGGTGGGGATGAAGTTGTTAAAAGAGCAGAGTTTTGTTAGAGTTTTGTCTTATGTGTTTTTAATGTTAAGCTGGTAAAAATTCCAACTGTGTTATAACTTTAGGATATTAAGTGAAATCCCTATGTTAACTACAAAGAAACAGCAAACATACGCAAAAGGAAATGAGAAAATAATTTAAGTGTTTCACTATCAAAAAAAAAAAAACCCCACAGAATACATCAGTAATGAAAGGAGGCACAAAAATACTATCAAATGTAGAAAGCAAATATCAAAGTGAAGTAAAACCCTCCATATCAGTAATTATTTTAAATGCAAACATATTGAACTATCCAATCAACAGACAGAGTTTGGCAGAAAGCGTTTTTAAAAAATTACTATCCAGCTATATGCTGCTTACAAGCAACTCACTTTAGATTCAAAGACATGCAAAGGTTGACCATAAAAAGATTTTAAGGCCGGGCGTGGTGGCTCATGCCTGTAATCCCAGCACTTTGGGAGGCCAAGGCGGGCAGATCACAAGGTCAAGAGATCGAGACCATCCTGGCTAACACGGTGAAACCGCGTCTCTACCAAAAAAATACAAAAAATTGGCCAGGAATGGTGGCGGGTGCCTGTAGTCCCAGCTACTTGGGATGCTGAGGCAGGAGAATGGCATGAACCTGGGAGGTGGAACTTGCAGTGAGCCGAGATCGCACCACTGCACTACAGCCTGAGCAACAGAGCCAGACTCCATCTCAAAAAAAAAAAAAAAAAAAAAAAAAGATTTTTAAAAAATACCATGCCAATAGTAACCAAATAAGAGCAGGGGCAGGCAATTACTCAAAATCTCAAAAGTAGGATTACCGTATGATTCAGCAATTCCATTCCTGGGTATATGCACAAACGAACTGAAAGCAGAGCCTCAAAGAGAGATGCATGCATGTTCATAGCAGCATTATTCCCAATAGCTAAAATACGTACACAACTCAAGGGTCCATTGACAGAAGAATGGATAAGCAGTAGTATTTACATATGATGAATTATTACTCAGCCTTAAAAAAGGAAATGCTGCTATAACATGGATGATACTTGCAGAAATTATGCTAAGATAAAATAAGCTTTTCAAGAAACATGAATACCATATGATTCCACTTAAATGAATTACTTAGAATATTCAAAAGTCATAGAGACAGAAAGTAGAATGATAGTTACTAGGGGTTGGGGTGAAAGGGGAATGGTGAGTTCTTTAATGGGTGTAGAGTTTCAGTTTTACAATATTAAAAGGTGTCTAGAGATGGATGGTGACAATAGTGTCACAACAATAGAATTGTATTTAACGTCCCTGAAATGTATACAGTTCCCCCTTGGTATTTGGGGGGATTGGTTCCAGGACCCCACACAGATACCAAAGTTCATAAATGCTCAAGCACCTTACATAAACTGGTGTGTTTGCATATAATCTATGCCTGTCCTTCTGTATACTTTAAATCATCTCCAGATTACTTAGAGTATCTAACATAATGTAAATGCCATGTAAATAGTTTCTATATATTTTAATTTGTACTATTTTTAATTTTTTATTTTCAAATATTTTCAATCGTGAACCTGTGGATATGGAGAGTTGACTGTACTTAAAAATGGTTAAGACAGTAGGTTTTATGTTTTGTACATTTTACCACAAGAAAAAAATGGGAAAAAAAAAGAGTACCTCTTACATGAACTCCCATAGCAGCATTATTCGTAAGTCAAAAAGCTGAAACATCCTAAATATCAATTGAGGAATGGATAAAAAAAAAGTGGAATTGCAATGGAATATTATTCAGCAATGAAAAGGAATGAAGTACTGAAACATCCTATATGACGTGAGTAAATGTTGAAATTATTCTAATTGAAAGAATCCAAAAACCACGCATTTTCCTCCATATGAAGTGTTCAAAATAGGGAAATCTATTTTAATATAAAGTAATCAGTTATTGTATGTGGCTGAGGATTGAAGGAGGTCATGGGAATGGGGACCCACAGAATAAGTGGCGATTTCTTTTTGGTATAACAAAAGTTCTAAAATTAAACTATACTGATGGCTGCACAATTCTGTGAATGTACTAGAAAAAAATCAGTAAACTGTCTACTTCAATGTGGTGAATATATGGCATATAAATTATATCTCAATAATGTTGTAAAAACCTCAGCAACTCTTTCCCCTTAAAAAGAAAAATGTCATATAAAAACCCAGAGGACGTATTTTTAAATACTAAATAAGTAAAAATAAAATAATAAGTATGTGGTTAATGTAATCCAGATACTTACTGTTGGGGAAAGGAGTTAGGTAAACAGAGATGATACAAAATCACTTCTATGATATTCTTGCCCAAAGCTACATTATCTTATTTTAATCATAAGGAATGTTAGACAACCACAAATTGAGGAACATTCTATAAATTAACGAGTGAATCCATGTCAAAATTGTAAGACTCAAGAAAAAGAGGCTGAAGAACTGCCCTAGATTAGAAGAAAAGACGACGACGTGAAAACACAATGCAGTGTGGGATTCTGGATTATAAACTAGAACAGAAAAAAAGACATTACTGTGACAATTTGTGAAATTTGGGTAAGGCCTGGAGATTAGTAAATAGAATGTTTCCAATATTAATTTCCTGGTTCTGATAATTTTGTTGTGCAGGAGTTACATAAAATGTTAAAATTTGGAAAATCTCTGTAAAGGCATATGGAATATATATGTATTTGCAGCTTTTTTCTAAAACTGAAATCACATCAAAATAAAAGGCTAAAATATAGCATTATTAAATAAATGGTCTCAGGGAAGTACAAATTAGCCTGCAATGGTAGAAAAATAAGCAATCAAGTATAAAAAGAAGGTAAATAAACCACTTATGCTATTAAGGATTTAAGGGATTGGAAGATCTATAAGATTTACTTGTGTTCCTATAAGCCTTCTGTTCTGACCATACAATCTAAAATCACTTCTGAGACTAAGTAACCTGTGTAAAATTTTGAGAAGAAAAAATATCCTTAAGAAAGGTGGGATCACACCTAAAGACGTATCTTTCAGCATGATTTCTTAAGATTGAAATCACATCACTAAGTATGGTAATGATATTGCACCTTTGGAAGTTTACAGAGTTTAGGTGCTTCTAAAGGTAAACAGAATGTCAAGAAAATAGAAGTCTAATTATGGAGCCATTTAAAGGCATAGAAATATTTCGTTTCTGATATTAAAAAGTATAACCATTTTCTCAGTAGACTATATTAACCAAGATGCTAACATTTAACCCAAATCCTAGAAAACTATCTCTGTAATATCTACGTATATGTATTTTCAGGTTCTAAAAAGATAAATAGTTTCTTGGAAGTCCTCAGTATGTGTTTCTGCGTATACCTGTACACACACGTTTTCTTAAAATTCTCTTCCAGAGATCTGCCTAGATTTTAGTTTTCTATGCCTACCGTTTAACTGACTTATACACTTAGCCAAGTCTTTTGATCCCTACAGTTTCTTCATGTACTAGACTCTGCAATACCTATGCCATATTGCCAATTTAAAACTGAAAATCCTACCATTCTCATTTAAACCTTCCCATCCTATATCCCAGAGTTATGGTCGAGAGCATCAATTGAAATCAGGCACTTGAAAGCATTTGGGAAAGAAGGAATTATTTTAGTTTGTTGAAGTATGGATTGAGTAGGTGACACGACAATTTAGTAAGCTTACTATTGAAAACAACAAATACATTTTTCACATTCTCTAAGTAGCCGTTATTATAGAAGGAAGCAGTGGAATAAGACCCATAATTTTAGAATATACATATGGTGGAAATTAATGTTCAAGTAAATAGAGTTCAAGCAAGACTTTCATCATATAGTAGAAAAAAGTCTAGATTTTCAACTAGCGAACACATTCAATTCGACATCATGAAATACTGAGTTCTATCTGCTTGCATAAACTTAGTTTTCCTCTTGCATTTGCAGCAGTGTAGCATTCCGATTACAGGCATTTCAGGGATCCATGATGGCCTCCAGACTATTTCTTTTCTATTAGTCAGAAAGAGGCTGAGCTATTCTAACACAATTTAATCATGTTTCTTCCACAGCTGTATGGATGATTTTCATGTCAACAGGTCTAGAGCCTGCTCACCAGATACAGAGGTGGAAATAAATAAAGTACTGACTCTTGAATGGCAAGACATAAGCTCTGCCAAGACCATGATAAGAGAGAATGAGCTTTCGTTCTCCGCTTAACCAGTTCCGTTCCTCTCCTTTATCCTCCCCTCTGTCTACTTGGCACATCACTGCCACTCGGTACAGCCCATGGGTTGCAAAGAGGATTATTTTATTGTTGACAGGGAAATAGGAGGCTCATGTTCTTCTGTAGAAATGTAGCACTCAGAATATAGTACTACTCTTTACTGACAGCATGTTATGAACCTTTTTTTCAATAATTTCCTCTGAAGAAGGTACAGGCATTTATACATAACCCCCACTGAACTCCAAGTATCCCTGTACTTATGAAGAATACACACACATTCATTAATGATAACAAGGTTATCAACTATATGCAGAGCATGGTCAAAAAAGAGAAATCATCCTCACCATGAATGAACTTATGTCTAATATGTAAAGGCAGAAAATAAGTACATATACAGTTAAGTTCAATTTGAAGGGGAGAAAAATACTCTTTAGGTGATAAATGTGTTGTTGCAATAGAGAATAACTCATCTTAGACAGCCTGGCCAGCAAGAACTTGTCTAAGATGGTAACATTTAAGAAAAAATAGTAGGATCTAGCCATGTGATATTTGGGAGCTATTTTACAGGCCAATGTAACAGTATCTGAAAATGCTCTAGGTTATGTTCTAGAAACTGATGAAAGGCCAGACTTGATGGAAAGCAGTATCCATGAGAAGAGTGGTTTTATATGTGGTTGGAATGATAGGTGATACCTATCACCTATAATAATAATAATAAGCTGTGGCATGGAGCTTTCTTTTATTTTTTCTTCTAAGTGCGATGTGAGGAAAGGGATGGGTTTTAAGTAGTGGACTGTCATGGTCGAATTCATTAAAATTCTAGCTGTTGTGTGGAGTATGGATTAAATAACGCAAATAATGAAATTCAAAGCAACGGTTAGACAGATAGATCATGTTGGACTGGATTACACTAACAATCATAGAAATGTAAAAAAGGTATAGTTATTTAAGGTAATGTTGGCATTGTAACAGGACTTGCTGCTTGTCAGGATGGTAGGAACTGAAGAAAATGTCCAAAATAACTCTAAGATTCTGGTTTAAGCATGAGATCTGTAGCAATGACATTTTCTAAAATAGCTCTAAAATTCGTTATAGAAAAAAATGTGTTTTGTGAGTTTTATTAATGACTTCTAATGTTTCTATAAAATCTCATGGAAATGACCAGCCACCACTTGAAAATATGCTCAGGATCATTAGTCATTAGGCAAATGCAAATCTGAACCACAATAATCTATCACTTCATACCATCAAGGATGCTAAAATTTTTAAAAAGACAAAGAAAATAAGTGTTGGCAAGGATATGGAGGAACCAGAACCTTCATACGTTCCCAGTGGGAAAATAAAATGCTTCAGCCACCGTGGAAAACAGTTCGGTGTTTTCTCAAAAAGTTAAACAGAGGATTACCATATTACCTAGTAGTTACACTGTTAAGTATATACCCAACAACAACAACAACAAAAATAAAACAGGTACTAAAACACATACATATTCACACACACATTGATAGCAGAACTATTCACAAAAGAAAAAAGCTGAAAATAGCCCAAGTACACATTAGTGGATGAATGAGTAAGCAAACCGTAGTAAGTACATGCAATGAGATATTGTTCAGCATGTATTCAGGTTATAATGTGAGTGAAGAATTGATACATGCTACAGTGTGGAAGAACCTCAGAAACATTATGCTGAGTGAAAGCAGCCAGACACAAATATCATGTACTGTATAATTCCGTTTACATCTAGAATATCCTGAATGGATAAAGCAATGGGAAGACAGAATGCAGATTGGTTGTTAGCAGAGGCAGAGAATAGTGGAGAGCAACTGCTTAATGGGTACAGGCTTTCCTTTCGGGGTGAGGAAAATGTTTTAGAACTAGAGAGATGTGGTGGGTGCAAAATACTGGAAACGTATGAACTAAATGTCATTGGAAGGTTCACTTCAAAAATGGTGAATTTCATGTTATGTAAATTTTACCTCAATTAAAAAGACACTCATAGAAATGTGATTTTGTACTTTGAGATAAAGCTAATTTCCAAAGCCAACAAGTTATCAGTACATCATCCATTTAACCATTTACTCATTGAACAAATATTGATTAAGATTCTACCAGATGCTGGCCGGGTGCGGTGGCTCACACCTGTAATCCCAGCACTTTGGGAGGCTAAGGTGGGTGGATCATGAGGTCAGGAGATCGAGACCATCCTGGCTAACACGGTGAAACCAGGTCTCTACTAAAAATACAGAAAATTAACCAGGCGTGTTGGTGGGCACCTGTAGTCCCAGCTACTTGAGAGGCTGAGGCAGGAGAATGGTGTGAACCCGGGAGGCAGAGCTTGCAGTGAGCCGAGATCGCCCCACTGCACTCCAGCCTGGGTGACAGAGCCAGACTCTGTCTCCAAAAAAAAAAAAGATTCCACCAGATGCTGGCTTCCACTATTTGGGGATAACTACAATATCCCCAAAGTATAATCTGTCTTCAGAGAATAGACTGCATAGTAGGTGAAGAGAAACATGCTAATATATATATATATGTACAGGCATATATGTATATACACACGTGCTAACATATAAATACTTGTTTTCCAGTCTGCCAATGGGCATACTGACACCTACCCCCCCTGCCTTACATGGGTCAAATGAGAAAACATATAAACATACTTTGTGGAGGATCTGTCAGCTAACACACTGGTATATGCTCAATAGTCTCTTTTCCAGTGGCTTCTCCCTCTCATTAATTTCCCACTCATATCAAACAAGGAACAAAGCTAGCTTTACATTTTAAAATGCAATGTGTGTTACCATTGGTGGTCATTTGTCTGATATCTAACATTTTTCCCCAATTTTTTCTTTGGTTCAAGCTATTTGTACCTTTCTAAAATACTGAAGATATCTTAGGGACTATTCACTTAGCACAATTCTACAAATTGAAGAAATCAAAGGTTACAGTACATGTAAATAGTCATCCTTTACAAAGCTAGTTAATTCACATTCAGCCAAGACCTCTGGGCACCCAGTCAAGGTCTAGTGGTGTTTGTGGCATGCTGCATTTTGCTGCATCTGTCCAAGCTTATAGTTATAAAAGTGAAACAGTATAAAGTCTAATTTCTAAAAGGCCAAACCCATAAATTACATGTCTGGATTTCTAATTATCATTACATGCAACTAATCATCTAATTCTTTATAGAAAGTTTTTATAAGCCTCTTGAAGTTTCCAAAGATTTTTTTTTTCCTGAAGAAAAAGATATTACAACTCTAGATTTAACATGCAAAACTTAGTTTGAAATCTCTAGTTGCATCTTCTAAGAAAGATATAAAACAAGTAGAACGTAGAAATACAGAAAGTTATATAGAAAGGCAAAATTAAATAATATAGAACTATGGAGTGGCTGCTAATAGCATTTTTGTATGTTTTCTTGCTGTTTCTTTTTCATACTGAAGTTTATCTTTCAAGTTCCAGCTCCAGAGTGAACTGAATACAGGGTGAACTGAATACAGCTCCAGTCTGAATTCCATGTCTCATTTGGAACTCTTTCCAAAAACCAAGAGAGATTGTAACTAATCTTTAGCACATCTGGCCTGTAGGCACCCAGTCTTTAATTCCATCCCTGAAATGGCAATCTTACTAAAAATAGATGACTAGACCTTCCCTTGACTTCTCCCTCCTGTCCAGATGCACAAGCCCTCTTGCTGACATCCCAGGGCGATTCATTACAATGAACAAATATAGTTGAACACACATCTCTAAATGATCTCTATAGACTTGTGCTCCAGGGATGGCAGATTCATTCAGATATTGGAAGGGCTTTCTACCAAAGAAGACAGGAGAAGGAAAAAGCCATTCCTTTATTCAACAGGCAATTAGAGTGTGTCAACTGGGAATGCTGGAGCTGTGCTAAGTGGGAAGAGGAAGATTCTAGTCCTGCCCCATGCACTACTCAGTTTGGTTAGGGAGAAAATATGCAAACCAATTATACCTACATTGATAGCTATAACGATAGTCTAGAGGTGACAGAGGAAATCAGATGGAAGTATTGAAGATTTAATAGATGCTGGAAGGTAAAAGAATGAGAAGAGAGAACAATGCAAGTATTTCAAGCAAAAAGAATATGGGAAGCCAGGGGACCTAGGCAGAGTGCGCACAGCCCTTTTACAGGAACTCTAAGGAGTTCATGATGCATGGACCAACGGGTACTGGTTAGGCCAGGCACAGCAGCTCAGGCCTATAATCCCAGCATTTTGGGAGGCCAAGAAGGACGGATCACCTGAGCTCAAGAGTTTAAGACCAACCTTGCCAACACAGGGAGACTCCATCCCTACAAAAAATTTAAAAATTAGCTGGATGTTGTGGCACACTTGTAGTCCCAGCTACTAGCGAGCCTGGGAGGTGGAGGATGCAGTGAGCTGTGATGGCATCATGGCACTCCAGCCTGGGTGACAGAATGAAATCTCATCTCTTAAAAGGGGGATACAGGTTAGAGGGAATAGAATATCTAGAGATGAGTAAGAGAAGATAAAAGCAAAGATCATTTAAAACCTCGAGAGTGGGCTTAGTAGGTTGGACATGAACACAAGGACGCCATCTTTTAATAAGGCATGAGCACTAGCATCTGGGAAGGAGCATGAGAGAGAAAGGGATACAGGATGGGAAGCAGTCCATGAATAACAGCCAGTCCAACAGTGGCTATCTCCTGGCCTTTCTCCCGCTTCCCTAGTTCATGTTCAATTCCTAGTTATTTTATATTTTGTCATTATTTTCTGACCATCAATTTTATGATGAGGAAGACACTTCAGAGGGACAAGAATGAGCATAAAAGACATCATTCATGCACATCCTAGGGCTTAGAGTTTATTCGTCGAGATAGACAAGTCTATACATAATTATAAAACACAGTGACTAGGCCCTAGAAGAAGGTCACAGGCTTTGTAAAAAAGGGAAGAGGGAATACACCATACTTCAGTGTTATGAGTGGGAGGTCAGGGGAGTCTTTGAGTGGAAGTTTAATGCTTTGGGTTAAAAGTTATATAAGAAGGAATATTACAGACAAAGGGACAAGTACAGAACAGACAAGGAGTGAGCGTGGAAGAAGGGTGAAAGTGAGGTTTTGGGAGATCGAAGGTTAAGTGAGCAATTTTCTTAGAGCTTGCAACAATTACAGAGAAGCTCTTGCCCTTTAGGAGCCCTCCCAGAGATCTGACCCTTGTCCTAGTACAGCCTGATGCTGGAGGAAGACCACAAGGACCCTGCAGTGGTCAAGAAGTAGGGTCAGAGGGTCAAGTCCAACCATCTACTCCACAGTGACCAGTCGGACTCAGTAACTCCTAAGTCCTCTCCTCCTGCCTCCCTTTCCTCTATTTGTTCCTTCTCCCACCACCCAGTTCTGATTTCTCTCTCTGCTTCTCTCCCTCCAATAACTCACAGTAGGTAGGAACTGTTTTCCTTCTTAAAAGAACACATTCATATTCCCAAGTTCTATTTTGGTGGGGGAAAGATGACTACCTATGCATTAAAACAAACAAACAAACAAACAATCAAAGGGCAGTGTTTTTCTTGAATGTGGCTCTACACTGATTCTTAATGTAGACTTAAAGAGAAGGGGAAAAAGCTGGGCACAGTGGCTCAAGCCTGTAATCCCAGCACTTAGGGAGGCCGAGGTGGACGGATCACGAGGTCAGGAGATTGAGACCATCCTGGCTAACACGGTGAAACCCCGTTTCTACCAAAAATACAAAAAATTAGCCGGACATGGTGGCATGCGCCTGTAGTCCCAGCTACTCAGGAGGCTGAGGAAGGAGAATCGCTTGAACCCAGGAGGAAAAGGTTTGCAGTGAACAGAGATCACGCCACTGCACTCCAGTCTGGGCAACAGAACAAGACTCTGTCAAAAAAGCAAACAAACACACAAAACAGGGAAAGACAGAAAAATATCTCCCTACCCCTCAGTTGTCTATGGTCTTGATTTCTCTCCTGACTTGAATAACAGCCACCAACGTGTATCTAAGCACAATCAGTGAGGAGCTACCAATGGCCTTTGTAGCAGTCTTTAAAAGTGATCCCTGTTTTCACATATTTCATAATCCCAGTTTCACTTAAAATGTGTTCTCCTATTGTGCAGATCAGTATTAGTATTTTAATGTATGAAATTCAGTGTGCTATCATAGTTCATGGCTGACCTGAAACTACCTATTTTCTGAAGATGTGCTAATATAGGTGTAAAGACGAAAGTATGGAATATCTGGTCAAAAGAGCATAGACTTAGGCCTTGGACAGATTTGCAGATAAATCCCATCTTTATCACTTATAGTTTTGCCACTTTGGGCAGCTTTTTATTCTACAAGATTTTCTGAATTTATGAAATTAATATGATAAATCTTTTCTTAATCTGTACCTTGAATATTTCCTTGAGATCCCATGACCAGCCTACCTGCTGCCTTCTTTTCTTCAAAAACATCTATTTAGTGCCAGATAGGTACTGACAAGCCAGCAAGCTGGATGTGAAGCTTATTTTACTTATTTTTCTGGGGAGACAGTCTCTCTGTGTCACCCAGGCTGGAGCGCAATGGCACAACCTCAGCTCACAGCAACCTCTGCCTCCCAGGTTCAAGCTATTATCATGCCTCAGCCACCCGAGCAGCTGGGATTACAGGTGCATGCCACCAAGCCTGGCTGTGTGTGTGTCGGGGGTGGGGGGTGTGTGTGTGTGTGTTTATGTGTTTATTTTTAGTAGAGACAGGGTTTTGCCATGTTGGCTCGGTTGGTCTCGAACTCCTGGCCTCAAGTGATTCTTCCACCTCGGCCTTCCGAAGAGCTAAGATTACAGGCGTGTGCCACCATGTCCCACCAACTGGCTGTGAGGTTTAAATGAGATACGTGATGTACTGGGTCCAGTGCTTGGCACATAATAAGTACCCAGTAAAGGCCAATTATTTTATTATTGCTCAAGATCGTTTATCAGTTTTCCAAGCAAACATTTCCATAACTTCTGAAAAATAGAGAATGCTTAGCTTACTTGATATGTTGTATGTATGTCACATCAGCTTGACACTCTTTTCATTTATTGCTGATTAGCTGTACATTCTTAGAAGCTAAAAATACATTGGTACAAACCTGTTACTTTTCACCTGTAGAAAGCACATTAGCAGTTTCAAAAACAAATCCTTGGTTGATTTCTAAATGATGGAGGTAAAAATTCTTATTAAACTACAGAAAGGTAGAACTGATAAATTTTTAAATCATTGCTTTTTAAAGTAACACTCACTCTTTAAAAATTTAATGTGTATTGGAAAGACAACATAAAAAATGGCATACATGAGTCTAAAATGATAAAAATGTCATTATGACCTTCATGGATTTTTCTCTAGCCTAAGTAATCCTACTAAACCCTACAGATTGAAGAATGCATCTTCAATCATTTCACTGCTTTTGCTCTGGATTGTGGTTCCCCCCACCACCATTTCTCACTAATACATCTTTCTTAAAAGAACGACATTAAACGGTAAGTCTTTATATGAAAGTGACTTGTCAAGGGGACTGGCTTAGATCCTGATTCTATGGATTTTACTTCTTTTAATTATATTGAATATGTGTAGTATGTGCTTTACTGTTTCAAAGGAGTCAGCATCTCTATTTTGAAAGATTTATCAATATAAGAACCCCATTGCAATAATTTTTGTTATGCAAATTTCTGTTAGGAAGAACAGGCTCTCAAGGTACTAAAATTTAAGTAGGCCTATTTCTGACCCGAGATTAATATAGGAACAGAGAAAGAGTTATGGAATGAGAACAAAAAGGAATAAGCAGCACAAGGATCTGACGACATCAGTTTCTGCCTATGTGCCTGGGATAAGTCCAGTTTCCAATTTTCTTGTCCATTCCAGGGTATACTACTATCTCTGGCCTACCAGTAGAAATGAGGTTTCCTTTTAAAAAAGAAAATTCCCTTAAGAATATAGACTGCCTTCTACTTGGACACTGGTGCTACCTCAGAAGTCTGCAAGCCCAGCAGAAATGAGACATTCATTTCCTAGAAAGGATTCTATTAAGGATTCTGAGTTGTTTAGATTCCAAATATTAAGCTAGAAAGTAGATGTGTGCAGAAAATGACAGAAGAGAGATACTAGAGGTAAAAAATCTGGCAAAGGGAGGCACTGAAAGCTGAATTCTGGTGAGATGGCGAGAGGATACCCCAAAACCAAATCTCACCTACTTCACAATTTTGCTAGCGGCCAATCCTATAGTTAGATAAAAAAAAAAAAATTCCCCTTCCTCTTTCCAGTGCCCAGGCATGTTGTCCTTTCCCAAAGCAATCTACATGATCTACCTTTCCAACCCAGCACAAGCCATCATCTGTTGAGACAGACGATCTATTTTTCCCTTAATTCACACTCAGTTATGATGGCAGATATTCCATCAGCATTATCTCTTCCAAAAGAGGAGTCTAGTTATCCAAAAAACGGAAGAGAGAAATTCAGGCAGCTGTGGTGAAAGAGTTTCTAATTTTGAGTAGGGGGCTACTCCGTGTAGGGCAAGCCAGAATTGCTGGAGGGCTGCCATCTGCTCTTTTGAAATATATATAGCTGATACCCATTTGCTACTCCAAACCCATTCGTTTTTCTAAATCTCAAAAGTTATTTCTCTGAATGTGGTTTTGATTTGTGGGTTGGAGGTGTAAGGGTGGGGGTGTATCTAGCCTCCAGGGCAAGTGCTACCTACTACGTGCAGTCTTTTATAAATTCTTGACAAACTTTAACAAAAATTAATTTATAAGAAAAGTGATTACCATTGTGTCTGCTACTAAGAATATCGGGATCCCAGGTGAGGCAGAAATCTTTGTAGGAGAAAAGAAACTTAATTGTTTGCAGTTTTTAATGAAGATAATAGGAAATCACTTTGGGTAGATGCTTAATTTAGGAAGATCACCCAAATAACCTTTCATTTGTACAAATACTACCTTAGGATAGTAGAAACAGCTAGGACCATGATATATTCTAATAGCAAATATTCCAGAGTAATCGATTAAGTATTTAGGCTAAATTTCTGCAGATACAATCTTCCCTCAGTATCCATGGAGGAATGGTTCCAGGACCCTTGGCGGATACCCAAATCCAAGGATGCTCATGTCCCTTTATATAAAATGGTGTATCAGTATATAACCTACACACATCCTCCTGTATAGTTTTAATTATCTCTAGATTCCTAAAATACCTAATACAATGTAAATGATATGTAAACAGTTAACATTGTTCCCTAATGTAACAAGAAAAAATAGTCTATACGTGTTCAGTACAGATGTAACCATTCTTTTTTTCCTGCAGTATTTTCAATTCACAGTTGGTTGAATCTATGGATGTGGAATACACAGATGCAAAGGGCCAAATGTACATAGGTTTTCTCATGAAGCTGGAATAGGGGTTTGGGGGAAGGAAGAAGCTACTGTCTATCTGATGAGGAGAAGCTCTCATGACAGGCTGAGGGTCAGGTGAGAGAGGCAGTGAGCTAGAACCTTTTTGAGAGCAAAGATGTCTAATACCCAAATTTAAGTTTGCCTTTCTGTGTTACCCTCTTCCTGTGTATTCAACTCTTGAGTAAATTTTGGCATCATTCAAATTACAGTCAGCTTTGTCTTAGCTAGCCTTGGAGTAGAAGAGTAGAAGTTGTGAATACATTTGAGGGCCAAGAGATACAGAGAGCTGCAAGGCCCCAAGATGTTCAAGCAGCTTCCACAACCTCCCCTGCTAGAATACCAATTCTAGTACCACCCCAAGGCCCTCCAAATACTCAAGAGGAGGTCACATTTGTAGAAGTCATACTGCATGATGATTCCAATGACTCAATAGGGAAAAGAAAACTAGTACTGACCCCAGAAGGCTGAAAAATTAGATGTTCCTTGAGTTAAAAATAGTAATTTATATTTTTCTAATATTTCTATGATCTAGGAATTGTGTTCTACAAGTTTGTCTCACTTAATCCTCACACTAACTCAATGAATTGGTTATAATCATCACTACATAATCATTATAATCATTTTGAAGATGAGAGAACAAAAGTTCTCAGAGATTCAATATTTTGCCCAAGGTCATATAACAATGAGGAAACATTTCTATAATTCACACCCAGATCTAAACTCTTAACCACTAAAGTATGCTAATTTTAGCAGTATTTAATTTTTAAAACTTCAGTTTTCTCATGAGAGAAAATGAAACACAATATGCTTTTCTCAAATACAACCAAACTTGGCCCTGCGTAAGCCAATCTTCAATTCCTTTAGTTCCTTTCATTTTAGATATGAAAAGGGTCATAGCTTAAATTTTCCTCAGAAGACAGACATCTGTACACATGAAGTATGACCAGGGCCCACAACACAATCCTGAGTTGCTCAGTTTTCCTCAAAGGTGCACTGAATATACCTGCCATTGAATGTTGCTATTTCCCATGATAAAGGGCCCATGATGGTATCTCTAGTATGAAGGATGTCAACCAGCAATAAAGGCTAATTCTACCATTCCACTCCGGGTCCAATGTCTACAGATACACTGAATGCAGCTAGAGTTAATGGCTTTATTTCAAAGATTTTTGAACAGTTTCAAGCAGTGTTTCTTCACTAGGAATACTTGGGACAACGTATATATCTTAGCCAAGTATCTCCTAAAAAATATCTTTCTTCTGTTTTCTCATTTATCATTAGTGAGCACTACGCAGGTATTTTTTAGAAACATTACAAAGATACTGACAAGTTACTGATTCATCCAGCAATGGTAAATATTAAAGTTTTATTTGATGAGTAAATATTAGATTTAAAGGTTATCAGAAATTCACAAAGCCTTTGGTGGGAATAAGAGAGAAACAAAGAGGGTAAGAGAAACAGGGAGAGAGAATATGTAAAGAATTCTAAAATTATAAGATATTTCCCTTTTCTGCTGTTCTTATTAAAAGTTGTTTCAGAATTCTTGCTTTTCTAAATTTGGATAATGATCTTCATGTTTCTTTCACAACTTTTAATGTTTATCAATTTTATTTTTTTCTACTTTATTAATGTTTAAAATCATGCTTTGATTTCCTTCTTGCTATACCCAGCGGCTAGATGAAATGAAAAAATATTACTTATTAGAGAAAAAAGCTCACTTGTAAAAACCAGTGAGAAGTATTACAATTATTTTTCACTCAAGATGTAATTATACATAGATAACTTCCAACTGGAGAAATAGCAGAGTGATGGGAGAATAAAACAAAAAAGATAACCGAATGCACCCAACAATTATTTTCTCAATGACTATAGATTCTCAGGTCCTTTGAGATTATGCAAGTCAGAACTTCCTTGGATTTACATATAACTTAGTATTTTTATATGCATCACCTAAAATGAAAATAGAATAGAGAAACACAAATACTACATTCAAAATTCTCATTTTATCTGCCACCGCATTCTAGTGGGTATCTTTAGACTTTAGTCAAAGTACCTCTCCTGCTCATAGAAGTATTTGTCATCCCTGATCACCATATCCTTAGCTACAAGGATGAATATGTACTAAACTTTAATGGGCCACTGTTAGAGAATAACATGTTTACTATTGTGTTGGTTTACAAAAATATTAACGAGTTCTAGTAATTTATTGGTATAGATCACATATTCTACATTTATAAAACGTAACACTAGGTAAGCCATATTTCCTGACCTTCAAAATCATGCCCACAAGAAATAGAGATAAATGTATTTGTAAACCTGCTTTTTAAAAAAATTACCAATGTCCTACAGAACTCATTTATTTTTTTGTGATTTTTTATTGAATAGATTAAAACTTACACAATGAGTAATATGTACTTGATGTGTGATTCAAATTAAATGACTAAAACATATTTTTATCATTTTGTTACATAAAGTACCTTGAAGTTATTGGCAGATGTTTAATTTCCAAATCAATAGGCTACTTTCTCAGGCTTTTAAGTACAATGATTGGCTATCAAGCTCATGGAATTCATACTTTGAACAAATGGAATACTGACCCAGAAGGCTTATTTATGAGTTTTCTTTTTTCTCCCCAAGTCAAATAATTTTTAATTGGAACTATTGTTTAGTAAACTGGGTCTGATTATGTGGGCGTAGTATTGACCCCAACCTACTAGAGGTGAGAAAGCATTTTAGTCACAGGAGGCAAAGTAGATTGATAGTTACTATCATCTGGTCAAACAATACTAATCCACCATCAAATTAAAGGAGCACCAAAAGTGATGACTGTTATTTTAAAAAATCAATCACAGCCCAAATGATGGCATCCATCTTGAGATACATTTCTTCGTCTCCTCCAAAGGTGATGTATTTTTAAGTTTTAGCACTGAAATGACAGAGAATCACTGATAGACGGAGGGACTCTTGGAGATGTTCTTCAAATATTTCAAACAGAATAAAAACAAGAAAATGCATTCATGAAGTTGTGACATCTAAAATTGTTATATCTGTAGTAAATAATTCTTTCCATAGTCAGTAGAAGGTGTCTATGGTGTTTACACCTGAACAATTTCCTGACCACATTCAGCCTCTAGCATCATCTCCCAATGAAAGAAAGTTTTAAAATTAGGGCATTCCTGCAGATGGGGAATGAAAATGAACATGTCTATGTGAAATAGTTTAGGAATTAAGCTTTTGATTATGAAAAAATTTAAAAATATTTATAGATAAAATAATTAGAACCCCTATGTACACATCACCCAATTTCAGCAAACATTAATTTTCCACTCTTGGGCTTCTTATATCCCTCCATTCACCACCCAGCACCCCTCCACACACACACTGCAACCTTTGTTTGCTGCCTTTTTTTTTTTTTTTTTTTTTCCCACCAAGGTAGAGCCTTGCTCTGTCGCCCAGGCTGGAGTACAATGATATGATCTAGGCTCACTGCAACTTCCGCTTCTCAAGTTCAAGTGATTCTCCTGCCTCAGTCTCCTGAGTAGCTGGTATTATAGGCGCCTGCCATTATGCCCATCTAATTTTTATATTTTTAGTAGAGACAGCCTTTCATCATGTTGGCCAGGCTGGTCTTGAACTCCTGACCTTAGGTGATTTGCCCACTTCAGGCTCCCAAAGTGCTGGAATTACAGGCATGAGCCCCATGCCTGGCCCTTTGTTAGCTTCTTGCTGAAGTGCACAAAGCAAAACTCAAATATCTTATAATTTCACCTGTAGTTACTATTGTATTTCTGAAAGACTTAAAAATTAAACCAAAATATTCTCACTTTTAAAGAAACTAACACAAAAAAAAACCGTTATTTATTACCCAAAGTTTTGAATTGTTCCCCAAATGTCTCAACATGTCTTTTTCCAGGTAGTTTATCTGAATGGATTTTTGTTGGTTTCCAACAGAATGACACTATTGTATTTATGGCATGACATTATATAAGATCCAATAAAAGTGTATGAACAATATTTCCTAAACATATTAATTTCCTAATTAACTTTATCCTCATAAAATTCCTGAGTGAAAACAAAAAATCATATTTTATGTATGATAAAATAAGTAGTAATCCCTCAAGTCAAGTCAATATTAAAAGTTAATAGAAATCATAAGGCTCAAGGAGTTACAAGGTAAAGAGACACTCCTTTAGACCCAAATATATAAAACACTTTGAGGTATAAAAGATGGATAACTGAAATTGAACTGAGGATTTTGAATTTCCAAGCTCCTGGGGGGCAAGTTTGAACCTATTATATCAGTCTTCTATAAAGAATAGCACCAAGTTCTTCTGCATACATACTTGTGAGGCTCAATTGAAAACATACTAGAAATCACCTAGCAGATACCCTAACTTTATAAGGATAAATTAGGAAATTAATATGTTTAGGAAATATTATTTACACACTTTTATTGGATCTTATATAACATCATACCATAAATAGTGTAAGCAGTCACATGACATTGACTCAATACGTCTGTCTACATTTGGTCTTAGCCTGTAGTTCCTCAACTTCAAAGTTATTTTATTGCCTACCTCAGGGGGCTTTGAGTCTTTTGATTCTACCAACTACTCATGCCCCCTCATCCACCAGATGACCTCACTTCCCAGCTTCCCTGTTAAGAGGTCAAGGTCAAGCATCACCTCTCCCTTGCGTATTCCCTTCTATTCCTTGCCTTTCTCCAAGGTTGGCAAGCTTGACAAAAACCACATCCTGGTAAAATTTAAAGCTGAAAATGCCTAAAGAAAAGCTCCATGTTATCAGTTGGTTTTAGTAAAAATTCCTATCCAGGAATTTCAAAGTGAAATTTCTTAATGGCACCAGGCAAGCATATGATACTTTCTCAGTCCATTCATTCCCCTTCTCTAACACTATTTTCTATATTCCTTCTTAAACCTTTATGATCTCCTCTTCTATCCTCACTCCCCACCAGTGACCTTGCTCAGTATTTCACAAATAATATTAAAGTGAAGATGACTTCCCCAGACTGTCACCACCACATTCATTGATCTACTTGCATCTGCACCCTTATATTGTACTTTCTTGCCTGTTGTCATAGATAAAATAGCTATATTCCTTACTAAAGGAAATTTCTGTACTCATGTACAGATGCTGTCTGCTTAGGCCTATTCATTCCAAGAAGTCATTTTTCTCCTACAGTGATTTTTCTTTTATCCATTTGATTACTCCCCCCAGCACACAAACATGCTGTTATTTGCATTATACTAAGAAAAAATTTTTCTCTTGATTCTTTTTCTTCCAACTATCATCTTGCTGTAGTCAGAAAAAAACCTAACCTCCAAATATCCACATCCTAATTCCTAGGACCTATAAATATATTAGGTTACATGGAAAAGAGTAATTAAACTTGCAGATAAAATCAAGATTGCTAATCAGTTGACTTTAAAAATAGAGAGATTTCCCTGGATAGTATGGCTGGGCACAACATAGTTACATGTGTCCTTAAAAAAGGAAGAGGGAGCTAGAAGAAAGCAAAAGATAGTAGCATAAGAAGGCCCCAACCTAACAATCCTGGCTTTGAAGAGAGAGGAGAAGGTTCACAAGCCAATGAATGCAAGTGGTCTCCAAAATCAGGAAAAGACAAGAAAATGGGTTCTCTCCTAGAGACTCTGGAAGGAATGCAGTCTTGCTGATACTTTCAGTCCAGTGAGTCTCACTTTGGATTTCTGACCTCCAAAACACTAATACATTAAATTATGCCATTTTAAGTCACTAAATTTGTGGCAATCTGTAATAGCAGCAATTAGAAACTAATGCAGACCCCATTTCTTAGATCCCATTTTCAAAGACCATTCCTTCCTATGGCCTAATTTTTTTCAGTCATACGTTTACATTTACAACATTGATCTTATTTCAAAAATCGAAGCATTTGGCATAGATGATCACTCACTTCTACTGAATAGAATTTACTCATTTGTCTCCTAGAACACCAAGGTATCTCAGTTTTCCTTCTCCCTCAGGCATTACTTCCTTTGGCTTACTGTTTCTTTCCTCGCCGATCTCTTACCATTGGAGAGCTCCAGGACTTGGTCTTTGGAATTTTCCATCTACGTTTGCTTTCTTGTGATCTAATTCATTTTCTTGGGGTTTGTAATACCATCAATATGGCCACTACTGCTATATTTATGTCTCCAGCTTAGACCTCTCTCCCAAATTCCAGCATTATCTATCCATAGACATTAATCAATACCAAAGTGAAATTACTATTTATATCACAGCCTTTCCTACTCATAGCCATCCCCATCTCAGGAGACAGTGTCCTTCTTTCAGCTGCTCATGTGGTCCTTCTCTTATCTTTCATTGTCACACCATACATCCGACTTATCAGAAGACCTCATTGTCTCTAACTTTAAGATACATGCAGAATTGGACAACATTTCACCTTCACCAGGAAGCCTACTTCATTCTCCACAGCCATACACCGTATTCTCCATAGCCTCCTTTTCTCCCACCATTACTCCCTTCCCTACCCACCCACCCACAATTTATTGTTTTTAACATTTAAGTCATTTCACTCTTTGGTCTGATCTGGCAATAGACTTTACATTTCTCTCCAAATAAAAGTCAAATTGCGTTCAGGAGCCTGGCCCTATCAAATTTATACCCCTACTTGCTCAGGCTACTTGGACCACACTGGCCTCTTTGGTTTTCCATGATCATGCCCATCACTCTCCCTTTAGGGCCTTTGCAGAGCTATTTTCTTTCTCAGGAACTCTCTTTTCCTGGACTTTGTGCTTGGCTACCTGCCTCTCTGCTCCAGCTTTTTGCTCATCTCTCATTCACTCAATGAGGCCTACCCTCACCTGTTTTGTATTTTATACTCTAACTGGCCCTCCAGGCTCTCCGCATCCTCTGGAACTCTCAAATTCTCTTCTCTCCACTTTTTTCCCCACAGAAATTACCGATTCTTAAAATCCCATGTGATTTTCTTGTTTATTACATTCATAGTTTATTATTGTTTCCCTATCCCATAATATATATTCAAGGCGAGCAGACAACTTTACCTGTTTTATAACCTGCTATATTCCCAGTACCCAGGTGAGAACCTGCTACATAGTAGGACCTCAATAAATATATTTGGATACATATTTACTTATTTGCCTACTTGCTATTGTCATTAGTACTCTATTGGTAACTGAATGTTCTAAATGAGAATTAATACTTACTGAAGTAAACATATAGCATATCAATACTTGACAATATCCATATTTGTCTTAATGGTCAATAGTGTCCTTTTAATTGCTGGCAGAAATTTTCAATTTCCATAGAACAGGAAAAACGAAAGACTACCGATTACTAAATCAATAGCTAATTATCTTAAATATTAAAAGAGGATATAAATTAAAATTTTAAAAATCATGTTTTCTATAAGAGGTTTCTCCAGTTGTTTTATTATAGAAGTTACCAAGTAGTTTAAGGAAAATAAACAAAATTACATCTTACAGCTCTATAGACACAGTAAGAAATCAGCAGGGAAGGCTTGAGCTGATAAATTAATGCACTCTTGGGTGTGAATTTTGACAGTTAATTATCTTTAATTAATTTAGGCATTGTTTGCCCTTCAAGATAAAAATGGATACCTAGTCATTCTTAGACCATCGTTTTATAATGCGATAAACTTAAGTTGAAACTCCTATGTGTGACAAACTTTGTTAAAATAATATCCACATTAAATTACAAACATCTCACACAAGGAAACTTGAAAATATGTAAAGCCCCCAAGAAATGAAAAATTATGGCCTCATCACTCCTCCAATCTTGTATTTAGTTCCAAATAAATAAAACTCTTTTTAAATCTAAGTGGGAAGAATTCAAAATATTTTCCCCATGTTGAGTATCTTAATGTTGTTAAATTACTTTTCAAAACAAAAAATTGTAACTTCACACAAGATTCTAGTGCTGAATTGAAGAAGTCACCATAAAACCTTGTAACTGAGCCCCCAGATTTCAGTCCTGTTTACCTGCTGTTATACGTTGAACTTACTAGTCAGAGAATGATGTTTTTTCACACATTCCTCAACAGGTTATTGGCTTTCTTGACAGAAATACACAAGATTGTTCGATTCCAAATTCTGTTGAGTATTTTGGGACTCTCTCCCTACCTTGCCTGTAGTGCATATAAGGCTTGCTCATGCTCATGCCAGCATGCTCAATGCATTAGTTTGTCAAATACTTTTGCTTTGAGCACCAATCCCCCTACTTTGGGGAACACCCTGCTTTATACAAGAAAACTGATGTCCTCCCAAACTAAAGTTACCAGACATGCTACTAAGCTTGAATAAATTTACCTTCAGCGGTTAGTCTTGCTCCTCACTTGTGACCAGCACCTTCCTTCTAAAGCTGGGGAAAACACCTTTATTAACAAAGCCTCACAGACACCTTATATGTAAAACCTGGAGCTACTAGTCAATTGTCAATTAGCTATGTCTGGAGCTACGTCAATTAGCTATGTAACGAATTGACAGTTGACTAGCGCACATCAGGTGTATTTTATAACTTTACAAGCCATGTTGTAATAAAAATAATTTTTTCAGCTGAAGAAAAACTGAAGGCTATTGAAGAGAAAAAAGGAAAAGGGAAGACAAGAGAATTGTTTTTGATGGTTCACTATCCTGTCGAGAAGTAACAGAGGGAGGAACCTCAAAAGCTTCAGTTCTTCCCCTGCCCCATGGTTGAAACATAAACTAGTGGAACGCTCAGCTTCATTTCAATCTGATGTACCAGAGGATTTTTTGAAAAGCTATAATACACATTCTTATTTAAAGACTGTTTAAAGGCATGAAGTATAATCTCTGAATTAACTTCAAAGAAACTGGAATTCTGATGCAGATGAGAGGCGCTTAGCTTCAGCAGCCCAGTGGCCCTTTGAAGACCTTTAATTGTATTTCATGTGCTGTATCCACCTCTTTATCATTTGGGGAAAGAGAAAAGGAGGCAAAGATGAATGTTTTTTACCTGCCTTAGATATAAGAGCTAAGAGGACTGCTAAGGTATTCATGAGGATAATAAACTATTGTTTGTGGTTGGCAAAACTTAAATAAAAAAAGACTCCACGAGAGAAAAGAGTGACTAGGGATGCATATCATCAAACATTTCACTACTTTACCTCCATTACTCTGATCCCAGCCTATCTCTTCTTTTTTTTTTTTACATAGAATCTCAAATTCCTATCAACTATTTAAATAATTGCTTTGTTGGTTTTATCTTATTAGCGAACAAATATACCTTTCCAATCCCTGTTAGACTAAAAGATTTATCTTTTTCTTTTCCTTTTTAATTTATGTTTATGTATTTTCAGGTCCTGTAACTAAAATTATAGAGGCTTATGCAAACAACATGGGAAAAGAGTTGTTTTGTAGTTCGCAGGCCACATGCAATCCATTGATTAAGCTACTTTATGGGATAAAGTTATTTACGTCAAAATATTACCTTCAGTGCAGCTGGGATTTAAGTATTTTCTTCACCTCCAAAATAACTGAATCAAATGGAAAAAGATTGCCTGTGTATTTGTCCTTTAATTAAAAACATAAACAGAAACATAACTGCAGACTATCACCTATGAATTAAAATGCTAATTTCTTTCAAAAGAAGGATTTATTTGATGTCCCCCTTTGAAATATAAGAAATATGCAACAAAGAAAGGAGGAGAAAAATTCCTAGGAAGTCAAACATACATTTGCAAAGCTAATTGAACAAATTCACCACCATTTGACATTTTGCTACAAGAAAAGCAGTCTTGCAGCTGGATAAAAGAACAATGGAAACAAAGACAGAAAAATACAGTCTAAACTGATCTGCTGAACCCCAAAGCACTAAGATAGCCTTGTTTAGAGTGTGAAATTGAACTGTGAGCAACAGAGAAAGTTTTTGTCCTAACACTTCCCAAAATCAGAGAGAACTGTAGGTGACCTGCCCCTTTTTCTTTTCGTTTGTGAGAAACTAACCTATTTGAACAAGAATAGTCTTAAGGCCAGGTGCGTTGGCTCACACCTATAATCCCAGAACTCTGGGAGGCCAAGGCGGGTGGATCACCTGAGGTCAGGAGTTCAAGACCAGCCTGCCCAAAATGGTGAAGCCCCGTCTCTACTGAAAATATCAAAAAATTCGCCTGGCATGGTGGCAGGTGCCTGTAATCCCAGCTACTTGGGAGGCTGAGGCAGGAGAATGGCTTGAACCCGGGAGGTGGAGGTTGCAGTGAGCCGAGGTCGCACCACTGCACTCCAGCCTGGGAGACAAGAGCAAAACTCCATCTAAAACAAGAGCAAAACTCCATCTAAAACAAACAAACAAACAAAAAGTCTTAAATCCCAAACCCTCATCAGGGTTAAAAAATGAAACCCACAAATGAGCATTAAGGAGAATTTCCATCAGGACCATTATAAAGAAGAGTGGGGAATAACTGGAGAGTCCAAGAGCAGGCATGGGAAGAATTACCTTTCTGGTCCATAATCATATAGGACACTAATTTACAAAACTTTGCTGCTTTCCAAATCTAAAATGTTTGCCAAAATGTCACTTTTTAAATGAAAATGAGAAATCAGATCCATATTTTGTGTTTTCTAATAATAACCAAGCCCCCTCATCATCCTCCTCAGTCATCTATCCACTCAACCCATTACTGAAATGAAAAAGCCGTGATTAACATCCGAGTTCATATTGGCACAGAGCACCTACTGCTTTAGGAATGCCAGATCCACATGGAAAATAAAGAACTTCTTACAATCTCTGCATGGGATGCCAAATAGCTGCCAAGTTAGAGGGCCAATCACACTTCCCCTTTGCAAACATCCCCATGGACCTCATCAAATTCCAAAAGAATATTGAATCTATAAGTGATAGGAATCTGGCTTCAGGTGATACTGTTAACCTCCTAAGGTACTTGTAACGCCTTTTCAATTTAACCTGCCTGTCCTGCAGCTCCTTTCCTGTACCACTGGAAAAATAATGGCTCTCGCCTTTAAAAATGTGGCCTTGGGCATGGGCAGATGCCTGGTGTGCTTATACAGTTACCTGTCTGCTTTGATACTGGCTTCTTCTTTAATTGCAGTAGTGTTGTGGGTAGAAAGGCCACAGCAGGATTTTTCCCTTTCACTGGCCTGATGAGTACTTTGGGGTCTGTCTTAATAAAGTCCTGTAGGAATATTTTCACCACTGTTCAGAGGAAATGGGGATATCTTGTTAAATTAGTTTCACTCCCCAGCAAGGGTGTGTGGGGAGGAGGCAGAGCTAGAGATGTTTGCTCAGGAAGAATTGTTTCTGGATTCAACTTCTTCTTACATCTCGCCCAGGTGGCCTGTGTGCTTTCTCTCTTCATCAGTTCTTTCTGGGGAGGTTTTCCCACAGTCTCCCGGCAGGGGGAAAGCAATGAAGGCACTGTCTCACGTGGAGCTTGCTTTCTGTGTCTGAGTACAGCCTCTCCTCTCCTGAACATGCCCATGTCGGAGTACATTAAATTCAGAGAGGTAGATTGACTTAGCTAGAGACACAGTAGGGAGGCTGCATACAGAAAACAATATCAAATGAGAGCAAGGGGGGCCCTTAAAAGAAGTAAATTAACTGAACAACCAGCTGTGTGGTTAGGAGTCGTGTTCACAGAGCCATCACAATTCTGCCACCGAGTCCTGATTAGTATTAAAATAACAATTATACATATGTACGATTTTGGAACAAGGGATCTTTTCCATTTCTGAAATCTCCTCGGCTTTCTTTCCTAACACCTACTCTGCCTTTATTCAGCCTAGAGTGTATTGGTTAGAGCCAGACTAAAGAGTTCTGTAGGGAACTCCGTTCTTTGTTGAATTGCAGGCTTCTTATGCAGTAAATCCCAGTAGACAGGAAACAGTGATTTCATGATTTATTAGCATTCAAACAAACTCTGTATAGCTTCTCTCATTCCCAGTTTCATCCTTAATATTCTATACCAACTCCAATCTTGTATGTGTCTGGGTTTCGGCCTGAATACAGATCCATATGTGAGACTTTAAAACCCTGCAGGCTCACTCTAAAAGTACTTTTTATTTTTATGTGGTCAGCTCTACATTTCATCCAGCAAAACTGATAAATTATTGAGCAAATATAGCATTGAGGGAAATGGCGGGAACTCAAGAATACATGAAAGAGAGAGAGAAAAAAACTTTCTTACATATTCCAAGATGAAAATATTCACTAAAATCCTTTTGATTCAGAAAAAAATATTTACCAAGCACCTATTCCATGCTAACCTGTGTGCTAAGAACTAAGTTACAATCATAAATTATAAACTAAATGTTCATTAACTATTTCCATTCAAATGAGATCTCTGTATCCTGAGAAATCAGCTGACTTTTCCAAGGTCCCTAAGCTAATAGAACAGCAGAGCCAAGATTGCAACCAAATCTTATTCTCCATCCAATGTCCATTCTACACTAGCACACTACTTACATCTTAGTGTCTAATTTCAAAGTCCGGGTTTTAGGAAGTCCAAGTATATAACACTGAGACTTTGACTGTGGCACAATATCTCAGCTGTGTTTTTAGATTCCCTGGGGGAATTACAAATCTCCTTAAGTGTTTAACCAATAATACCCATTTTAAAATTTATTTGCAACCCACATAGTTTTTGGAGAAAACATTTGCACTAAATTACTTGGATAATTTAGATGGAATCACAACTTCTGTGCCAGTCAATCCAGTTTACTTTCCAATCATCATTGTTTCAGATAATGGAGAATTATTTTATTTCTTCTAACAAAATATCTCACTCAGGTATTTTCATCCTGACCTTTATGCTTATTATCCCTTCTGTTTTTTGTTTGTTTGTTTGTTTGCTTGTTTTGAGATGGAGTCTCGCTCTATTGTCCAGGCTGGAGTGCGGTGACATGATCTCAGTTCACTGCAACCTCTGCCTTCCAGATCCAAGTGATTCTCCTGCCTCAGCCTCCCGAACAGCTGGGATTACAGGTGTGTGCTTCCACACCTGGCTAATTTTTGTATTTTTAGTAGAAAGGGGATTTTGCCACGTTAGCTAGGCTGGTCTTGAACTCCTGGCCTCAAGTGATCCGCCTGCCTCCGCCTCCCAAAGGGCTGGGATTACGGGCACAAGCCACTGTGCCTAGCCTCTTCAGTTTTGTTTTGTGTTTCTTTTTTGTTCTCGAATTTAAACATAACATTACATTAAAAATATTATAGAAGGAGCCATTAGGTGAATGATCTTTTGTATGGTTCTTTAGACTCTAATCTAGACTTATATTTATTCACCCATGAAGAGGGAGTCTATAGTTTATATAGGTGCCTTTTGCAAATTAAGTATTTATTTTCTGAAGATCACTACTGCTCTGTAGACTCCATTTCAGAATTATTGCTAAATAGATGATTGGTAGATAGATAGATAAAAATCTGGAATGTTAATGTACAATCTGCTGCTTTAGTGCTGTAATTTTAAAATATCAGTCATTTATAAACATTCGGCATGTTCATTTTTATTCAAAATAAAATTTCCCACATAAATATATATCTACAATTTATTATCTTTTGTTCTAAAATAACCAAATTATCTGAAATTTGTTGTTCTTTTTTTTTTTTTAATTTTTTTTTTTTTTTTTTAATTTGAGACAGAGTCTTGCTCTGTCGCCCAGGCTGGAGTGCAGTGGTGCGATCTTGGCTCACTGCAAACTCCACCTCCCAGGTTCAAGTGATTCTCCTGCCTCAGCCTCTCAGGTAGCTGGGATTACAGGTATGTGCCACCATGCCTGGCTAATTTTTGTATTTTTAGTAGGAACAGGATTTCACCAGGTTGGCCAGGCTGGTCTTAAACTCCTGACCTCAGGTGATCCGCCCACCTAGGCCTCCCACAGTGCTGAGATTACAGGCATGAGCCACCACACCCAGCCAATTTGTTGTTCTTCAAAAAACACCCATTTAGAATGTTTATGCTACTTATCTAATCCTCTCTATATTCAGAATATAGACATGTGTCTAGTAATTCCCACTTTTACAAATATATCTTAACAAAATTCTCATGGGATATCTGATAGGATTTTGCTAGAAGAATATCACAGCATTGTTTATTGCGCAAACTATTGAAAAATAAATGTGCAACAAGAGAGGATCTAATAAATGTATTATGGTACCTTTTATATTATCAACCTATTTAAAACTACATGATAGACTTAAAACACGCTCATGATTTATTTTTGAATGGAAACAAAACAGAGCTACAAAACAATATGAGCATCATTATGTCATTTTTGTAAAAGATCATATAGATTGATAAAAGCCTGAAAAAAAATATGCACTAAGGTGGTTTGTTTTTTTTTAAACCCTATCTGACAATATTTTGGACAGTCTTAAAATCCTGCAAACCGGATTGATCTGAGGACCAGACAACTATAAGCTACATGAACTTTGAATTTTAAGGGTTTATCCTTTAACATATGCTCCTCCTATTCTGCTTCCTCTTTTCTCTCACATGTTAACATTCTACAAATATATGGTCTTTTCTTTAGCTGATGTCATTGACTGTGTCAAAACATTAAATGCTACTGGCATTAATAAAGTTATCTTTTGTCTGTTGTTCATACCTATCAATGCAACTGAGTTCACCAGAATATTTCCAAAGAAAGGATCAAGACAGAGGAAAACAGAGAGGGCATAAAGTACACTGGGTCCAAGCCAGCAGAATCTTTTTATCTCCCTGAACCTCAGTTTCCCCCTCAGGAATGAGGAGATTAGACCATATCACTTTAGAAAGACTTCCCTGCACAGCTATTTCATGACTATGATGGGGGGCAATGCATATCAAAGGGAGAAAAAGCTACAGAAAGGAGAAAAAGGAAGCCCCTATCAATCTCATACTTAGAGCCCAATTTTATTGTAATGGCTTTCAAATGGGCGTGTCCATTCAAATCATCTGTAGTTCTGCTAAAATTAAGCCAGTGTCCTTTTTGAGTCCATATATCTGACCTCAGATTTAAATGTCTGTATTTTGAGCACCCTAAGCAGTTTTGATACAGAAGGACTGTGAACTAGTGTTTGGGAACTACTGCTCAAGGATAATGTTCTAAACATATTTCCATCTTAAAGTTAGACAGATAAATAGAACAACTCAGAAAGCATTTGATTGACTTGGTGTTTCTGCATAAATCTTCTTACCTTTTCTATGCAAGAAAAGCAGAAAATGCAGCCAAGCCAGTGATGTTATTTTGATTAGCCACACAGAACACTTTTAGCCACCATGTTTTGAAAGTATTTGTATTCACAGCCATTTTCCAATAAACATGTTCTATTAAGGGTCATAGGGTTAAAAAGCTCTTTGTTAATTTGATAAGGTACTGAGTTACTTAGTATTATATCTGTTTAAAATCTCAGCTTTTAATGTGACCATTAGACATAGAAGAAATCAATGATTTCATCAGCTTAATAGGGCTATTGCTCCTGTGTTCTTCTTATTATATGGAGCTCCAAGAGTGCCATTGGAGATGGCTTTGAACATTTCAAACAGATTTGATTTCAGTTTCTGATTCAAAATTCAGTAGATGTTCTTGAAAGATGATAGTATGTGATGGAAATTAAACATCAAAATAGCATACAGAAAAAATAATCAGAAATATAGCAATAATGGAGAGTCCTACTCTGAGAATACAGAGGTTGGGCATTAAAAAGGCAAACACCTTTGAGTCTAGCCTTCTATTTCTATATGAGGACTCTGCCATTAAGGCAAATTTTCTGATTTCATTTCTTACACACACACACACGCACGCGTGCACGCACAAACACACACACCAAACTTGAAATTATTTTTCTGATTGTAAACTTTCTGCCTGGAAGTACAAATTGGTCATGACAGTCTCAGTCCATTCTGAGTTCTCTTTTCAGAGATGTTTGATGCAAAGACCACATGTTCTTATTTGTCTCTGACCTTTGAGGACCCTTGGCAGGACAGACTGTCATGCTGACAAGGGAACCCGAGGTTGCAGCCTGTGAAGGGCTGGGTAGCTAAGTCTAATACAGGGGAAAATTATCATGCCCATATGAATTCACACCTAGGCCACATCCTTCAGCTTCAGGCTTCTAGTCTTATCAATCATAAGGTTGATATATTGATTTTCATGTCTCTGAATGTTGTGCCTATTTTTAAGTTGGATCTAAAGATTCAACCTTATGAACCTATAAAATCCCACCTAGGGGATCCATGGAGAACCTTCAGAGAGTTTAGGGACCTCTCCAAATTTTATAGAAAATTTCTACTCCAGGAGACATAACCGATTTTTCTAATTTCTATCCTTGTTGGAAAACAAAAGCAACCCCAGGGAATCTCTTTATACAAAGTGACTAAAAAATTATAGAAGTAGTTTAAGTTAGTTACAGATTTGTTGGCTATAGTTTTTCTTTTGTTTCTGGTAATATACACAGCAGCCCTCACCTAGAGATGGGCATGTGGCCCTGAAAAGGGTACCATGATTTACTCGGAGATGGATACACAACCCAGGCCTGCCCAACCAGACCCATTTCCAGATTTGCAGGGGTCTTGCAGTTAATAAAGAAAAGATTTCCCTTTTCATCTCAATTTTAGTTTCAATTTCCATTTTAAGTAGGAAAATGTAAATCTGGAGACTTTTAGCAGTCATGTTAATCATGCTCTCCATCTCTTGAAGAAAGTTTTTTTCCTGAAATGCATGGTAAGCGACCAAACAGGTGAAGAGACTATTATACCTTAAGCGTTTTGGCAAAACCATTGCATAATCCCATGAACACTGTGACTTGCTCAAAGCCAATTTGATTATGCTTAAAATAACTTTTTAAACCTAAAAGAACTTTTCACAGCAGAAGTAATATATTCTTACTGTTGAAAATTAAATCAATACAGGGACAGAAAATAATTACTCCAAATGTAGATCAAAATGTTGATGTGGTTTTTTAATATGTTCTCTGTATGTTTGTTTTTACAAAACACACATACATTCATACACACATACAAGTAAACATCCAGAGCACTGTTAAGTATACAAGTTTTTTTTAACTTTTTTTGTTCACTAAAAATTCATAGTGAAAAATTGTATTG
This sequence comes from Homo sapiens, assembly GCF_000001405.40. Taxonomy (NCBI): domain Eukaryota; kingdom Metazoa; phylum Chordata; class Mammalia; order Primates; family Hominidae; genus Homo; species Homo sapiens. The sequence goes on along the minus strand of NC_000005.10, from coordinate 165,650,192 downwards.
CATACAATTTTTTGTATATAGCGCTGAATGAGAAAGGTGGAGTTTCTCTTTATATGAAAATTTTATATTAATGAGTAAGGCTGACACTAAGCAAGAAAACAAAATATATCCAGAGAGGACCAATAGTAACAAGCAAACAAACAAGATTGTGTGATAAAATTAACAGGAAATGGGAAGAGATAGCATTCAATAGGACAGTTAGGAAAGGGTCCTTGGAGGAGGCAAGAATTGAACCTGAACTTGATGAGAAGAAACTGTAAGTCTTTTAGTATTGGGATGAGCATTTTCTAGAAAGAAGGATTCACTAGTGATTGGGCCTTGCAGTGGAGACAAGCTTAGTGAGTTTGAGACACATGAGAAACAGGTGGTGGTTCAATTAGAATGGGTAGAGAGGGCAACAGAAGATACAGTCAGAAAAACAGGCTGGGAACAGGTGACATAGGAGCTGGGAGGGCATGTAAAGGAATCTGGATTTTATTCTAAACGAAATAGAAAAAAAAAATCATGAGGTTTGAAAAAGAGGAGGCAAACAATCAAGGAAATTTAATTTACTGAGATAACCTTTGTGGCTTGCATTATGCTGCGGGCAATAGAAATGGAGAAAAGTGGACAGATTTGGGTGCGTTTTGAGGTAGAATCAACAAGACTTCCATTTGGGCATTGACAAATAACCTGAGCCTCCATCCCCTCATCTGTAAATAAAATCAGTGGCGTTAACTTAGTCCTGAGCTCCCTTCCATGGCCTCTGTCATGTTTCTGCAAGTAGCACACACATTTTAATAGTACTTTGATCTACAGAAAATTCTGAGGTGGTTATCTTACTTATGTTTTTCTTGTGACTACTGCTTAATTTCTGGAAAATTACATGGGTGGAAGGGAAAATCATTGGTGAAGTTAAACTCCTTTGCAGAGAAGCTGTCCTGTTGGAAGGTGGAGATGGCTTAGTGAGCTCAGCAGCTGGTTCAAACACTTAGAACCCTGGATGCAGAGGCTCAGATCTCAGCAGGACTCACTCGACCATTCATCCTTCCAAGGTAGATAAATTGAATGTTGCACAGTTTAGAATGTGTGTGTCTTTCAGATAATGCCTTAGAAAGCAAATTCTGTATGAACATTAAAGACTACATAGCACTATAGAGGAATAGGGGCCACCCTGTGTCCTTGGCCTAAATTTCCTCCTTCCCTAATGTGGTAGGGTGGACTACTTCAGATACCAACATTTTACTGTTGCTAAGTCCATGCCGTTTGCTTGGTCACTAGAATCCTTCAGAATAAAATGAACTTTATTAACAGAAAACTATTTTGACTTACTATGAGTGCCTCCAAAGTTGACTCTAACTTCCCTGTGCTTTTTAATGATGTCCCCATCACAGAGACTTCAGCCCTCACAGACTGGAACAAACACATTTCGCAGGTGAAAGGTAGCTTGATCTCTCCTATAGGAGGTCTGTAGTCAAGCTCTGATACCAGGAGAAATTCCACCACTGAGGGCTCCCTGCCCTGAAGATAACCCAGTTGAAGGCACCGAAAGATGTGGAAAAGGACACTATGAACAAATGAAGGGCAGGAAACCCAGGCACAGTCACCAGACGGCTGAATCTTTTATTTTTTTTCTTTTATAGATTACCAAACTTTGCAATGAACTTGGATGGAGATTCGAAACTGAAGTCTGGATAATTTATTTAGCCACAATATCTAATACATTTTCAAAGACTTTATGTAAATAAACCCTTTAACAGTGTAATATACATTCTTATTTTTATAATTGTAGAAAATTTTCATTCATTCAATCATGATATAGTGGTTTCATATGTATTTTTATCCCTCACCTCCCTTCCTATACTCTCCATTCCCTGGCACCTAGAGACCTGTTCCTTTCTAAGAAATTCACCAACTGGAACCCATTACCAGGCAATGAACCCAAAGAAATGAGGAGTCAAAGTTTTGACTTCTGAGTTCCAAAAGCAGACGTTTACATGAAAGGCAAAATGACAAAGAGAAGTATCAGTCCTGATAGAACAAATTCTTTCTGCCTATTGGAGTCTAGATAAAATTGACAGATTGGATGAAGGCAGAAGGAGGTGAGCTAGAATGACGATGATAAAGAGGTGAAACCAGGGATACAAGGAACAAGATTTGAAAGAAGTAGAGACAACATCCAGAAATATCTCAGCATCTCCTTGAGTCAGCAACAGAAGGCCACACAGGAACTGAATAAGCCCTTTAGGCCAAAACACAATTCATTCATTCTATTAGATTTAGTTGGGTGCTCATCATGGTGCCAAATATGGTGTCAAGTGATAAAATATTAATAATATATTGTAGTATATTAATATATATTTATATATATTAATTCTATATATAGTGAGAGCTAGTCATATGTGTGTGTGTGTGTACGTATATATATATATATATAAAACTAGCTTTGAACTCTTCAGAAGTTCAAAGTTAGTTTGAAAGACAAATATAATAATTATAATACAGGGTAAAATCATCTAGGAGGTCTGAGAAGGTGATAATTGATTTGAGGACTGCAGTTTTCTGAGAAAAGAATTTATTTGGCAAGTCTTTCTTTAGGTATAACAGAATGATTCCCAAAAGATCACCTCCCATCCCTGCTCTCTTCCTCCTGGAAAATACAGGAATAGGAACAAGTAAGCTTCATACAATGAGAAAATATGGATGAAAGATGTGTTGCTAGGAAGGACTAAAGAGCCAAAGAAAGTTTGGGAAATAGATGGGTTTTTGTTTGTTTGTTTTACTTTTTGTGCTGGAGCAAATAGCCACAATGAGATACAAAGATTTTAAATGAAAGTAAAAGATTTTGTACGATTTGGCCAAAGTGACTCTTAAACTAAGTCAAAGATCTACCATTTGTCTCAGAAGAAAGAGAGAAAGAATAGGTGGGAGTTATAGATCCTGTGGAAATGAAGTAACAAGTGGAAGGGCCTATCAGGCTTGTGCTTGGTGTGGTGAGGAGGGTGATGGCTTGCAGGACTGGGATATCAAATCAGAATCTTCACCTTTTCAATGCTGTGATAATAGAATCGTGAAGTTAAAATTGATTTGATAATTATTTCAATCCCTTCAAAATATTTTGAATCTATCTATCGGTCATGTGTCCAGTCTTTTGGACAAATCTGTAATCTAGTTCATTATCTTATTTAATAATGGGCATAGGATATGGCAGAATACAGATATGCAGTTTTTCCAAAGCTGCATTTTGTAGCTGGAAATATTTAATAAACAATTGTTCACGATTTTATCAGCTTGATTCATGAAAATAAAAATAAATACCTGAAAAGAAAGCCAAGTTTACCTCTAATAAAAGCTATGTTAGAGGTTGCAAGATGTTTTTGGAGCTCAAGTTGGATTTTCCCACGTGGGCTGTCATGCTACTTTCTTTTGAATTTGTGTACCTCACATTCTCAAAGCTACATCACTGGTGATCCCATCTGAATGAGGAGTTATTCACCCTCTCAGAAGCAGGAATTATGTAAGTATTTTCATAACCCCACTCTTTTAAGAAACATGAGATTGCCATGTATTCTAGACCTAGGATCCATTAAAAGGAGACTTCCTATGGATTCCTGGATGACTCTTCTTCTCATACCTCTTCTTTTTTTTTTTTTGAGACGGAGTCTCACTCTGTCGCCCAGGCTGGAGTGCAGTGGCGCGATCTCGGCTCACTGCAAGCTCCGCCTCCCGGGTTCACGCCATTCTCCTGCCTCAGGCCCCCGAGTAGCTGGGACTACAGGCGCCCGCCAACAGGCCTGGCTAATTTTCTTATTGTTAGTAGAGACGGGGTTTCACCGTGTTAGCCAGGATGGTCTCGATTTCCTGACCTCGTGATCCACCCACCTCGGCCTCCCAAAGTGCTGGGATTACAGGCGTGATCTCATATCCCTTCTTTACAAAGCATCTATTTCTCATATATTATCCCCTCCATTCTTGTTGCCCCATATGAGTAATGCATCCTATATTGTATTAGACTCCAGAATTGCTCTTGTCCACTTGCCTTGACTCTGTAACTCTGTAGTTTCACCTGATTACTCTTCTCTAAGATCCTTTCCCAAACATTGCCCTTCTCTGAACCTCTAAGGTAGCTGGAGACCCTGCTGTACTATCTAACTTACATTCGCTCTTATTCACTAAAGACTACTTTCCTTTTCTTTATTGGTGGAACCAGATTAAGTGGTTCTACATGGCCTACTAATCTTTCTGTGTCACAATGGAGATAAAAACTGAAAAAATTCATTGCCAGTTTTCACACACCAGACTAAACCTCCAGACATCACAATTGCCTACATTTTACCTGGTTTTGGGCCATGTGTAATTTCCAAGCCTTGTTTTTATAGTTGGTTCAGATGATCTAAGCCTCACTCTGCTCTAAGAACCCCACATTGATGCACACATACACAGCCACTTGGGACATAGAAATTTACTGAATATATAGAGACAAATAGCAGAGACAAGGCTATAGAGGACTTGGGAAGACTCTAAATACACATCTGGCTGAAATGGAGCAGGGGGTGGAGATAGACTACAGAGACAAAACAGGATACCAATTGCTGCAGCAAGGCAGTCATTTACTTTCCAACCCTATTATCCCAACAATACAATAAACATAGAGCAGGGACATTTAAAACTCTACTAAAATGAGCTTCTTTGACGTCTTTAACATTCTCCCTGATTGGCCTTATCACACTTTCCTACCTTATACCACATTACTCCTCTAAGAACAACATGCTCCAGAAATATCTACTGATGTATAATTCCAGGCATATGTCACATTCCTTGATACTGGTATACTACTGAATTAGGTACATATTCAAAATATAACTCCTCCCCTCCAGTTCTACAGAGTCTATTTAAAGAGAGATGCATAAAACACCAAATAACATGAAACATAGGATTGTACCTGCCGGAAAACAAACAACTTGGAAAGTAAGACTCGGTTTGGAGAGTAGGGGAAGGGTAAAATACAGAGTGGCATAACAAAGAGGCAAAGAACTGACTAGGTGGAGTTGCAGGTTCTTGAATCAAACCCACCAGAATTTGAATCTTGATCCTCCCATTTACTCACAGTGGGGTCAGTTGCTGAAATATTCATTGCTCAAGTTTCCATATTTGCAAAGCTCCTTATTTTTAGAGCTTCTAGCACATAGGAAGTGCTTAATGTAAGTTAATTAACATCACTTATGAAATAGCACTTTTTAAGAGACAGCAACTTAACAGGAGAATTTAAAAGTAAAAATGAGTGTAAATAATTCATTATTGGTGCTCAATTAATATTTGTTCACAGCATACCCTCAGAAATACGAGGAATAAAGTTTCCCTGAGGATTCACCTCAAAGAGTGATTAAAATCTCTCAAATTTAAATTTCTGACTTTTTATTAGACATCTGCAAGATTTGAGGTATTGTGCTAGGAAGTTTCATGAATACAATTTCATTTAAATTTTATAAAAATTTTGAGTCTGTAATATTATTACAGTTTTATAGATGAAAAACTAGCACACAGAAAAGTGAAGTGATTTTTCCCAAGTTCCGTACTTGTAAGAGGGTTGAGAATCTGGGTTCTGCGAATCATAGCCTAGGTTTTTGTTTTTGTTTTTTTTTCGATGTATATATGGCTCATTAAGGAAAAAAAGTAACAAACAAAAGAAAAATTATATAGATACAAGAGACAGAATGAATTATCCTAACAAAGAAAATACAGTGCATAACCACCAACCTAAACAGACCAACTGCAAAATCGATAGCTAATGCAAAAATAAAAAAGAAATAAGAAAAATGGCTGTCCAGGTAGAAGGTTAACACATATAAACAGGACTGAAAAGACTTAGGGAATGTGCCAGATTTTGCCATCACATGAACAGCAGAATCTTCAGAAACATAATCTTCAAACGGAAAGGGTGATGATACTTATGAATAGGCTCAAATTTGCTTAGATTTCTATTATCATTAAGAGTTTATTCATATTAAGAAACAGATCCAGTTTTGTTGCTTCAGGAAAAATGTGCTGTAAGAATAAATGTGTCTTAAAATTTGTCAGACCTGGAGAGCAGACTTTTTGTCCACGCATCTCTTCTTTCATCTACCCTTCTATTTGCCAACTAACTAGCTCCCCGTCAATTGTCAATTGCCTTAGCTCTTATGCCATTATCACTCTTTCACATACAAATTTGGTTTTGGTTTGCATGGCGCCCACTCCAACTCAAGGCCTTTTTACAATTACGCTTCTTTTTTTTTTTTTTTTTTTTTGTATTAACATCTTTGGCTAGCCTTTGGATTGAATGGTTTAGGCTGAGGCAAGTAACCAGCACTTTTTTCTAGACAATTGTGTTGGGAAAGTCACACAGTGTTGAACATGGCCATTTAGACAGTAACAGTTAGGTTTCCAGAAGGGTCCCTTAAAAGCCAGACTATGGGGAGCAGGCTATTATGCCACTTAAACCTTGTCTTGGGTAGAAAAGGAGATATAAAACCTAGAGGAGTGCATTGTGTCATACATATGGAAACTATATGAAATATAATGCAATGATTTTTGCAACGTGTGTCATCAAAAAATAGTTATGGGTTAAAGGTTTATTACAAAAGTTAGATGAACATTAACTGTTGGCAATTATTCCTCCAAGGGCATAAAATCTCAATTAAACAAAACCAAATACTTTCTCCTTTTTAAAGTGCTGTTTTAAAAGTATACATAAAAGGCATATACATCATACTAGAATGAACTACATGCTTATTTATAGTTACTAACTCATGACAGGGAGGGGGATTTAAAATAAGTAAAGTTAGGAGAGTTAGACTTGCCTCCGAAAATATGGTACTAGGAATCCTAGGAGAGTTACATAAAATTTTCTTCTTTCCTTTTTGCTCATTTCAGTATCAAGTATAGAGAAAAGAAATACGATACTTTTCCAATCAATATTTTGCATCCATTGTACTATATTCTTTGTTTTTCCTTCTGCTGCAGTGTGTATTTAGAAATATATTCACCATTGAAGAGGAGCTGGTCAGAGATCTTGCTCTCACCAGCACATTTTATACAGGTCGTTTGTCCAGATGACCATTTCCCATAGCCTATCACAGCTATCTTACGATCTTATTCCATTTCTTGATAGTATTCTTAAAGTCATGGCTCCTGGACTATTTTTCCCTGCTCTCTTGCCACTGTCTGCATGCTAACACCTTTTACTTTTGAATCAGACACTATTCATTGTTGCAAACTCAAGGTCATTTTGTGAAACTGTTCTGTACTCACAGATGTCCACCCTGAATCAAAAAGCATTATGATTAAATGAAAGAAAAAACAATCAATTAGTTAAGATATTTCTATCAATTTGGGCTTACCAAGTTATATTTTATTAGATATGCAACTTTAAGTAAGCCACCTAAAATGTAAACCAATTTCAGGTGAAAATTATTGAATTTCAATCTTGAAGAAAGTAAGGAATCTTCCTACTTAAGAAGTTCTTCAGTCAGTACTGCAGTTCGTTTGCTAGGAGACTTTGAAATATACCAGAAAACAGGCTGGCTGGCAGGTTGGTTTGTGCTGCAAGATATTCTGACAACCTGTCAAAGTTCTACTTTTCTCACATTCTACCAACTTCTCTTTTCTAAAGAAAGCATGAAATGTCAAAATGACAGGTGCCGAAGCACAGCAGCATCCAGCTTCTGGGCCTATTACCTTAGGAGGGAAGGAGCTGAAAAGTTGTGCAAGTGACACATGCTGAAGAGTGATATAATTTGCCAGGTAAAGGAGTGGCTTGAGGAGGCTTGTATTAACCCTTTGGGGCTGACTAATTTGAGGTACATCCTTTGGGAGGAAATTCTAGAGGTAGCTAAAGAAGAAAAAATACATAGCTTTTGAGAAATAACTTTCATAAATAATTGGGTACCATTTTCTTTATTGTTGGTGACTTTTCCCAATTAATTTGTTGAATGAAATCAACATTGCCTAGCTACAGAAGATCTGTTGTTGCAGTTTCACAGTTTTCAAATGGAAGGATGGGGCATGTAGCCAGAAGAAAGATAAAAACATGAGAAGCAATTGCAATTGTATCTCTATGGAATCTGTTCGTTTGTGTGTGTGTGTGTGTGTGTGTGTGTGTGTGTGTGTGTGTATAAATACCTCTTGAGAGAGTTAAGTATGACTCAGTTAATTGGGAAAAAGCCTATCTAAATTAATTGACAAGACTGAGTTATGAAATACAATTTTCAAAATTTTTTTATTTTACTACTTTTAAGTTCTGACTATGTCTCATACAGATAATAGTAACATGCAACTCTCAGCCATTTCTTTAAAATGTACAGAGAAGTCCGATAAAAGAGCAATTTCTTCTAAGTGACGAATAGTTCTTAATTGTGTTAATAGTTGCCACTTTGTGTGGTAAACAGAAGTTATGTTTGAGGACAATGGAAACAGATAAGAGTAAGACTGTAGTGATCATAGTCTTTGGCTGGGAGAAGAATGGACAGGGAATCTAATAAAACAAGAAAATTTGAAGGATTGGAAGAAGAAGAAACAGATCAACTTCCCAGATTTGAGAACGGTCTACAAAGTTAAGGATGAGACTAGGAAAAGTTTTGGAAGTGGCCGAGAGACAGAAAGTTAGTTCTAGGTTTCTGGGTTCTGGGAGAAAATGAGATTTAATGGTAGGAGTCTGGAAATGTAATCCTACCAGTTCCCTGAGAAGTTATATCACGTAGCAGGTAGGAATTGAGACTCTGAAGTTGCAACTGCAAATAACTGTGACCTTGGGCCTGCTACCCAGTTCTCGTTGTTCAAAATTTATCTACTTGAAAACAGAGGTACTTGAAGTATCTGCCTCATAGCGTCGTGAGAAATTAAGTGTGATTATGTGTACATGTAGCAGTTATTTCATGATTATATCTTCAGAAAACCAGTTAAAAAGGACTTTCTTTCCTATGATTTCAGAAGAAAATAAAAGGGGGAAATGGTATCAAATTAGAGTGATCAATCAGACAAGGAAATTTCTTAGCCTGAGGGGAGTTAGGACTCTATTACTACAAGAAGAGGGGCTTCAATTAACCAACCTGTTTACTGAATCTTTATACTACATTAGTTAAATGCTCTTACAATAATCACAGAGATAGCTGTGTGTGATGTTGCTGATGAAGAGTTACAATAGCAACAGCTAATCATTACTGAGCATCTATCAATTGCCAGGCAATGTATTAAGAGTTAAAGACTATATGATTGATATAACTTATCCCACTTATAATCCATGTGGGTAATGTAATTTTTACCTTTATTTGACAGAAATGGAGTATTTTTTTCAGAGTCACATAGTGGCAGGTGCCATGCATCTCGGGCAATTTGACTGGGAAGATGGTGTTTCAACCCACTTCCTTGTGATTTCATTCCCAAATCAGGGAAAAAATACTTAAGGATGAGGGGGAAGTGATGGATATTTTCAAAGAAGAACATCATATTATTGAAAAATGATCAATATCCCCTTTATGGTAGGAATTTATGCAGGATTCTTATCTATGTTAATCTGTCTCTCAAGTGGATGGGTTTCTTCTGCTCTAAGAAGATGGTAGTTACCCCTTTAAAATATATGATTGACAAAAATTCAAGGAGTGTCAAATAGCCATAAGGAAAAGCAAGAGCAAAAGAGGTAAGTTTTGCTCTCTTTCACTCCATCCAAGGAGCCGTTACTGGAATCCATTATTGTTCCTTCCTAGTTTATATCCGGTTCTACCTTTGTAATAAGATGCTATAAGATAGCATCTCCCTGGACCCTTCACCTTCACTTCATACTTTTGTTGAAGGTGTTTTGACTGTCACTCTCCTTATCTCCCAATATTTGAGAGGTAAGGGGGAATACTGGAAAGGTTTGACAATCTAGAATATTGCATTACCCTGGTAAAATTGAATAGTATAGAAAGAGGCTAATGACCCAATTAAAGCCACTGAGATTGACTGTGAATTTGGCCGGAACTATTGCAATAGATGCATGTTCTATTTTTGCTGATTCTGAGACTATTTAGGATAATGTGACCTGGAGCTATTGGGGCCACTACAGAAAGCCTCAGAATGAAGGCCATCTAGCAGAAGACAGAGCCAAGAGAGGTCCTCATCACATTACTTGAGTCCCAGGATCAAACCTTAAGTTAATTACAACTGGAATTCCCCCCTTTTTTTTTGGCTTACAAGGGTTCAAAGCTTTAACATTTCATTGTCTTCGTTTGCAATTTCACCTGTATTAAAAGATATAAAATCTCCCTATTTGAGGTTGTCTGTCAGCAACTCAAAAAACGACACTTTGTTCACCATGTCATGATGACTGGAAACCTGGGAACTACAATTCCCACAATACTTTGCTGGCAGGTGTTTGGCTTATCATCTACTATGGAAGTCACATAAATTAGATTGAAAAGTAAAGGGCAGACAGAAGTGATGGTTTTGTTACTGTAACAACAATATGCAGTTCGATGGATTCAAATTTTGCAAAAAAATCCTGCAGGAACCTATTAATAGTTCCTAGGAAATCACCGGATTCTAGGCTGCAAACTGTAGTGATCATTCCCATGGCCTCTGCACTTTCTTGACTCTCTGAATAAAAATAAAATTTGGTAGCAAAAATGAGATATTGACAGTTTCCCCAAACTTAGATTATTCAGTCTTACCAATGGATCTATAGCACCTAATTATCTCTATTATCTTCCACCTGCTTTGGAATACCTAGAGATGTTTACAGTTTTGTTCTGATCACACAGGAACATTATATTTGCTGTCAGAAATAATTCAGGGAAAAAAGACCTTCAAAAGTGGTGATAAAAGGGAGTCCATCTTTAATAGTTAGAGGGGAAAGAGGTGCCCATAACATTGTAGGGCAGAAAATGAGAAACTAATGTTCCAAGGCATTCAATGTCAAACAACTATTTTAATTATATTGTAGCAGCCTTAAATTAAGTAGATCAAGAAGCTTCTGCAATGCAATAATATGTAGACTGTGATGCATTCACAGAAAAGCGGTATGGCTGATTCTAACGGCATTGGAGAGCTTTCAGGAAGAGCATGTCAAGAACAGAGATTTCAATTTTCAGCTCAAGATGTTGTCAGAAAACCATAGAACTTCTGTGATTACCCTAAAGGAGTATTCCTTTTTACAGCGAGGGCTGATATATCTGAAAAATAGAGCCGACATCGAATTCTTCAGGTTAAATAATGAATTAGATTTATAGACACACCAGGTCTCATATGAAAGCTAGGTCACTGTTTGGCAAAATGTGGAACTCTGGGAATTGTACTGGGAATATTTGGGTAGACGCAAATGACTGTGAGTGTCTTGCCTCTCTAAATCTCATTGAACTTCCTTTACTGGCAACAGCAGCCCCCCTGCATCCGCCATCTAAGACAACCTACCCCTTCCTTGAATACCTATAATGACATAATTTGAGACAGAGCTCTTTGAAGGGGGTGGAAATATTTTTCAACATCCAACCTTAGTGCCCAGCTTTGCCTCTAGACCCTTGACTAGAATCAGAAATAACTTTAGGAAATGTCTTCAAAGACCCACCCAGAAAGAGCTAGCATATGCATAAGATAGACTTCAACATGTTAAAACACTTAAAATTTAAAACACACAAACACATCATATGTTTTAAAAATCATAGGCTATATATATATATATATATATATATATATATATATATATATATATATATAACACACACACGCACACACACAGATTCCAAGAGTGCTATGTTAGAATTTGTCTAATTCCACCAATAATGATACACATACCAGAGATTTTGAATTCAAGGTGTTAGCATGAACAGATGGCCACGGTTCTCATGGTTTTCTGGGTTGATAGATTGAAACATGGACTCAGTATTAGCTTACAATTAGCCTGCATTGTAATGTACAGAAAAGAATCCAAAGGTTTAACAGAATAGGGATGTTGGATTAATCCATGCATTCTATTCGTCCATCCCTCACTATATTTCTTAGAAGGGCCCTAAGAAATATTGTCACCAATGCCTCAATAATTACATTAGAGATGCTAACATTGCATTTATAAGGATCTCTATAATTGCCATACTTTACTGTTTGGGATAACAATCACATCATCCCTTTCTTGCTCTTTGCCCTTGGTCAAGCTACCTAAACTCGCTGAGACTCGGTTTCCTTAACTGTAAAATGAGAATAACAATACCCACTTTGTTGAGTAATTGACAGTCTTGGTACAAAAATAAATATTAATGTTTCATTGTGTGTTCTATATATAAGACACTCTTCTAAAGCTATCTATGCATTATGTTATTTAATCCTCTGAACAATTAAATTAGTATGTACTTTGTCTAGGCCCCTTTTACAGGCAAAACATTTGACTCCCACTTAGGCCATGGTAAACCCAAGATTTGAACTAAGGTAGCTTGACTCTAAGATTTACATATTTAAGCACTATGCTGTACTACATAGAGCAGACTCTCCTTAAATATAAATTATCATTATCATCATCACCACCATTAGCAACATCACTATTATTATGTGATCATTTCTCTTTATTTTGTGATCATAGTTTGTACTTTATCCTCACTTTATAGTCACACTTATATTAAGGTACTTCAGATCAAAGATGGGTGTAGGAAGGTTTTAAATAACAAACTGTTGATGATCGCAGTATAATAAGATCTACAAATCACAATTTCTATAGATCTGAGTTTCCTGATCTAAAACGGAATATATACAATTGTATGCCACCTGGGGTCCATTTTAGTTCTATTAAGCAAGTTTTAGCAAGTTTTTTCTTTCAAGGCTGTCAGCTCGTGATACATAGCATATGCTCACAGCTTCAGTTAGAAGGATCCTTGATGGTGGCAATATCAAAGCCCCTCCTCATTAAATATTAGTTATATTAATATTAATTTAATGCAAAGAATTTCATCCTGGGGCTCCTAGAACCTTAAGAAAAGCCCAGGATATGTTATTTATGCTTTTACTTGATAAAAAATAAATTCTTTCTAGAGGATACCATTCTACCCAAAGATCAATTGCCACAGATTATTTTTTGTTTCTATTAAGATTTCATAGGTTCATTAAAATTGTGTGTGTGTGTATATATATACATATACAAGGACTATTGCTGATGGAAAAATTTAGAAATGTGGTATGGCCTTAATTTTTATGCAGTCATTTCAACTGCAACACATACATACAAGGACTATTGCTGATGGAAAAAATTAGAAATGTGGTATGGCCTTAATTTTTATGCAATCATTTCAACTGCAGCTTAATAAGAGAAGTTTCTTAGGTCTGTTGGGAAATTGTAGCGCCTTCTAAAAAAACTTGATGTTGAGAGTTTGTTTGAAAGTTTATGATTGCTTTATTCAAATGTAAATTTCACTTAAATTACAAAATAAAATGCTAGGTTAAGGAGCATTACCTCTTTTACCATTTAGACTTCTGAGACCTTAAATGCAGTCTAGAATTTTAACGAATGAATTATAATACCCACCTCTTTCAGCACTAATTATCATCATCCTTGATGTATAAAAGGCCATTTTTATTAATTATTGTAAAATATAGATAACACAAAGAAAAGAGTCTGTCCCAGTTCCAGAAAATTTACAAAAACAAAACAAAGATTACAATGAAACCCTTACAGGCAGACTCTGTGTCATGTCAAATCAATCAGCTGAGAAAAGAATAATTCAGCCAGGAAGCTCATTGTTTGATGGACACAATGCCAATTAACTAATTTGACACAATGCAGTTAACAAGTTTGACTTATTTTTTCTTAACAAATTGACTGCCTTTACTTCTGTTTCAGTGTCATGTAGATGTAGTAGCAGATAACAGTAACAATATTGAATCAAGAGGTTAAGTGATTTAATTTTGAAGACATTACTATTACAGAGGCCACATTTAATAAATCAATGTGTTTAAGATGCTTGGAGATCTATGGATTAAAGATGACTTTGCTTGTGGAGTGCCTAATAATCATTATATGTTGCAAACCCACACACAACACTAAGAGCTTGTCTTTCTTAGTTGTCGATAATTCTATGCATCTCCAGGTAGCCCCAAACCTCCCCTCCACCCAACACTGGCTGGCTTTCTTCAACAGAAATCATCCACTTCTCTATAATAATAGATCAAACTCTGCACCTCCCTGCCTCAGCCTTAACTACCGGTGCTTGACAAGTTTAGTTTAAAATATCAATACAATAGTTATAGTAAGCAGAGAACAAGTCTTTCATTATTTGAGGTGAAAACAATATTGTGCTTTGGATTTTTTTTTTAACTAAGCAAGCTGAGTCATTTGTGTGGATGAAGAAACAAACAAATTCAGATGCTCTTGCTGTGCGGCAAAACTCGGAGTCAAAGCTGACCTCCTGGTCCTATAGGCAATTGTTTAGCACTGCTCATTACTTGTAACTTGCGGGCTGTTGCATAGGACTAACCTCAGAGCATGATATGAAACCAGCATAGGAATGGTGGAAGGTATCCTTTTAGGACAGAAGAGCTATTAAATCATAATCATAAAATTAAACCTTTATTTCTCGCCAAAGACAAATTGCCAGCTATTTGAATTCATCATGTCAATCAATAAATTTTAATAATCAATCATTTTTCATAATGAATTCCAGTGAAGAAAGAGGTGAACATCTAATTTGAATGAAATATCAGAAACAACTAATAGTCATTAGAATCATCAAATTATGGAATACAAGATATGGATTGGAGCTTAAGTATTGCCTAGTCCAATCTTTGATTAAAAAATAAGTCTAGGGACTTATCCAAGGCTATAACCTCATCAGAGGCAAAGTTGAGTCTAGACTCTGTTTCTTCCTTCAGCATTTTTCTAGGGTCATGTTTCAGTATGCTCTGGAATTACTTTCCAATGTAGGGAATGTCAGAAAAAGAATTTTGATTTTCTTACAAGATTGCAGTTGTACTGCATCACACTCTGGGATAAATTATAAGTAATACTATTTAAAGCATTCTTCTTCCACATCTTGGCCAATCCCAACGAATCACAGCTTCCCATTCTTGGATTAAGTGTATGTGAATTAATCGTCTCTTCCCCACACTTACTACCTGATGGAAGTGTCCTAAGGCAAAAGCCCACATCTTCTCTGTCTCCCATTATTAGTCTAGCCAGGAAGAGAGACAGGGCACAATAAAAATGGTCCACTGCATTACAACGCTCCCCAATCCTGACTCCTAGGCTAGCTTTTCCCCTTCACATGCTGTCGACCTTTGAATGTATATATGAGATTATACTGAGCTAACCAACCTGATGCCCACCTGCTCCTAACCCCACCAGCACAGGGCATTAGATAACATGTGTTCTTTTCTTCTGAATCAATAGTGTTCTTTATTCTCAGAGAGGAAACCAGCACCTCTCTGTGGGGAAGCCACACTGGTGGAAAAAGCACCCATGAGGTCATTACCTATGTGAAAGGAAAATAAATCTTGGGACCCCAAAATCATTAAGCCAAGGGAAAAGTCAAGCTGAGAACTATGTCAGACAAATCTGCCTCCCATTTTATTCCTAAATAAGATAGCTACAAAGATAAGAAGCTACGTACCTCCCTCACAAGTTGCCCACAAGGAAATTTCTTGTGGACAAAGGACAGACAGAACTCAAAGTCGTCTCTCTGCTCACAGGAGACAAATGCTTATCTGAGTTCTTCCTCTGCTTTATTGTTTCACTAAGCCAGCCTAAGGTGGAGGTAACTATTCCTGTAAATTGCATATTCAGTGAAAGGCTAATCAGAAACTCAAAAGAATGCAAGCATTTGTTTTTTATCTACCTACAACCTGAAAGCCACGTCCCCACTTTGAGTTGTCCTGCCTTTCTGAACTGAACGAACGTACATCTTACATATATTGATTGATGTCCTATGTCTCCCTAAAATGTATGAAGCCAGGTTGTGTCCCATCCACCTCGGCACATGTCCTCAGGACCTCCTAAAGCTGTGCCATGGGTGTGTCTTTGACCTTGGCAAAATAAAATTCCTAAATTGACTGAGACTTGACTCAGATACCCTTTGGTTTACATTGACTTTGATGAAAAGAAGCTATTTAATCATAAGCTTTTAAAAGGTATTCTTTAAGGTCTTTTCGAGGCTACACATGGATGAAATTTCTATTCTAGCACGGTTTTCTGTAGCATATTAAATATATTTTTCAGCCACAAAATGGGATGATGATATGGTTTTATACAACCCTTAGCAGCTCTTCTAATTTAGTGGATCGGGTCTAGTACGTATTCCTCTGCCTCCACTGTTTTATTTCATTCAATTACAAGGAAGCATTCTTTCTAACCCTATGTATCTAATAGTAAGTATTCTGCCTAAATAACATAAGGCAAAATTTCCACCTCAGAGTAAATTCGAAAAAGAATGAAACTATAATTTTGCCATCTATCTTACACAACAATAAGCATAGGTGCTTATGTTTGTGAAGCACTATACACAACTTTCCCATCCTCTATATCCTTTGAATTCATAAAGACCCTGAGGCAGGAAGATCAGGCCCAAGCGTTCCCATTTGGCTGATGTCATAGAGCCTCATATAAGGCATGTGACTACACCAAGATCACACAACTGAAAGGATGCAGAGTAAGAAACCACACCACACATTTTCCACTACATTTGCTCTCTTTCCTCTTCCTGACCTGCATGACCTCAAAATATACAGGTCTGTAAGCCAGAGAATGCAAGAAGACTCTGAATCAACATGGTGTATTTCCATTTCTCTCTTCAGTTTACATACCTAGGTTCCTGGTTACAGGTTCATTTCCTGTCATGAGACATGCTTCCTTGGGAACATGTAAGCAGCTTGGGTATCATGCTTTCTCACAAGCAGAGAGAAATCCTGGCCATCCTGCCTCCATCTTCCTTTCTGTGTTCTCCACTGGGGTATGCAGACTTAGAAAAATGAGAAGCTGATGATAGTGACACGAGAAATGGAGCTGGTTTTGATTACAAAATGAATTATATGAGAACTCAGTCACATGCAGGTTAATATATAATCCTTCAAAAATGCAGACGATTTGGCAGTGGTGGTTTAAATTGTGTGAAACAGTTTTCTCTATTGTCAAACTTCTTAGAGACATCAATGTGGTATATGTGTAATGGATTCTCTGTAAAGTACAATATGTAGTATTTCATTGTACTTTGTTAAAGAAAAAATTAGTCTGGCATCTGTTAAAATGATAAGGAAGGGTTATTCAAGATTCTAGAGTATTGCAATGGGGGCATTGTGACAGGGGATTGAGATTGAGTTCAGCTTCTGATATAGGAGAGGTATCTTAGGATTTATAGCCAACAAGCAGAGTGAGAGGGTCAGTGAACGAAAAAGCACGAAGATGAGACATCAAGGGTCTTAGCAAGATTATTGCTGAAATCAGGCCAGGGCCAGGGTAATCAGATAACAAAGGTAGAGAATTCTTTCTTGCTTTTTTTTCCTTTTATGAGACAGGGTCTCACTCTAACACCCAGGCTGGAGTCCACTGGTGCTATCATGCGTCATTGCAGCCTCAACTTCCCGGGCTCAAGCAATCCTCCCACCTCAACCTCCTAAGTAGCTGAGACCATAAGCACATTCCACCAAGCCCAGCTAATTTAATTTATTATTATTATTTTTTGTAGAGACAGAGTCTTACTATGTTGCCCTGGCTTGGAATTCTTGCTAAACCAACTTAGCAGGATTCTTGCTACAACAGAACTGGGTGGACAGAAGACAGGAGTGGAACCAAGGTCCAGGCATACTCGAGAAGAGAGCTCAGAGAACCCTAACTAAAGTTTGGTCAAGGAGAGAGTCTTTTTAAATGTACTTGACGGAGAGCCCTTTTGGTGGGCCTTTGCTTTGGATTAGTTGCCACAGAATACATTTTGGAAGACAATGCCCTAGTACATTTATCAGACAACCAGACACACCTTAGACATTGGTCTGCATTGATTCTACTTGCCAGCCTCAGAATAGGTGATCCCAATTTAGAGACACAAAGTTATCCTCGTGTCAGACTATTAAGATTACATAGGTAGGGAAAATAAACAATAGATTTAGCTTGCCTTTTGTTCATCTGAGATTCCTTCTAGAAGAATCTTTATTTTTCACTTATTCACTGAATAACTCTGGGTAAGCCACTTAACCTCTGGGTCTTCAGTTCCTCATTGGTGTAATAAAAAGGTTTAACTGAATGATCTCTGATGCCCTTTCCATCATAAAATAATACCTATTACGTTTTCTGTGCTTCTGTATATCCAATTAATGTTTTACAAAGAGCAGATTAAAATGATCAGTTTTCAGTGCCATGGGCTGGGGAGAGGAACAAAAGATTTTAGACAGGAGAGGAAGGCAAGTGTCAATTTTTGATCTCTGCTGACAAAAGATGTATTCATTCTGGTTACAGAGAAATTTTCTCCAAAGTAGGCTGGATGCTTTAAAAATAAAGGAATTTGTTTCAGGATGTAAAACTGAGGCACAAGCATGAAACATAAGTCCTAAATGAACTGTAAATAGGGGATATTCACATTTCTCAATGAGAAGGAAACTATGCCATATCTGCAATCCAGTGGTGTTAATTCATCACAATAAAAAAGAATGTTGACATGCAAAGTCCTGTATGAATAAAGGTGTAGACTTTTTTCTTTTTCTTTTCTTCTCTTTTCTTTTCTTTCTTCCTTTTTCTTTTCTTTTTTTAAAAGACAGGGTCTTGCTCTGTCAGCCAGGCTGGAATGCAGTTGTGCAATCATAGCTTATTGCAGCCTGGAACTCCTGGGCTCAAGCAATCCTCCCACTTGAGCCTCCTGAGTAGCTAGGACTACAGGCATGCACCACACCTGGCTTATTATTATTTTTAATTTTTTTTTGTGTGTGGAGGTGGGGTCTTGCTATGTTGCCTAGGCTTATCTTGAACTCCTGGCCTCAAACAATCCTTCTGCTTCGGCCTCTTAAAGCACTGGGATTACAGGCATGAGCCACTACACCCAGCCAACATTCAACTCAATGAATTAAATTTGCTCGGAAAGCTTATTTGAAGGAGAGAAGTTGGTGAGTGAATTTCCTCATGGAAGGCCACTCTTTTGTCTTTAACTTTCAAAATCAACATCTCACATTTACAGTAGGAATCCCTTACTTGATCCTTTTTTAAAAATGTTAATTAAAAGTGGAGAAAAACATTCACCTTCACGCCTGTTTATCAATGTAGGTATGGATAGACATAGATGAATTTTTTAACTCAGAAGCAAGATTTAAGGCAAAGGCACTTACACTCACACCCTCTTGTTTCTGTAAAAAAAAAAAAAAAAAAAAGGTTACAATTTGATTACCATTTTATAGTAAAATCCAGAGTTACAGCTGGAAGTGACCTTCAAAATAATTTCCTTTAACTCCCTCATTTTACAGATATGAGCATGGAGTCTCAGAAAGATCAGAGTCCACAGCTGGTGAGTGGCAGAGTTGGGCGCAGAGCCCCCACTTCCTGACCCTGGGTGCAGGGTGACTTTTGACTCACCATAAACCTAACAGGAATTAGGCCAGCAATTCTTAGAAGGCCTAACACAGGACTCACTCGTGGAATCAGCGTGCATTTGTCCCATGGAATTTGTTATCTCCAATTGTGTTCCTGTTATGGGATTTGTTGTCCTGTTTTCTGACTCCGCACTTGATTTGCAATTCTGGGCTATAGCAGTATGCTTCCCCAGAGTACTGAGCAGTGGTCAGTGAATTTAATCTGTCTCTCGCTGTGATCTGTGAGCGAAGTTGTTACAGCTCCACCTAGTGGACAAATTCACAGAGAGGGGAAATTGCAAAGGGGATGCTGCCCGCTGAGGACGAATCTGCAGGCGAGAGGGCAGAACACATCACAGAGAGGTTAAAGCTGCAAAAAGTTGTACTGACAACTGGCTGTAAACTAAAGGCTGTTGTGGAGAAATCAAAGTATAATTATTAGAGAGGGGGAGAAAACATCAGCTTTCTCATTACTTCAAGGACCTCTAGAGATTTTTATAGCTTCTGGAGGATGCTGTTAGGTATGAAGAAGGACGAGTCAGAGGATGGAATTAATAGAACTCACAAATGAAAACTAACTCTTGGAATTTTTCTAAAAGTGCACACAGGCAAAATTTACTCAGCCTCGGGTGTCTGACTGGCCCCCAAGATTTCTTACGGCCCCAGTACAGTAGAAAGGCAGATGCTGAACGGTGGGCTCCAGTCTTCAGCCATAGTTAGTTAACCCCCTCTGCCCTCTCAGGTTCATAACACGAGCTCTGGGCTCAGTGCTTCAGAGGATCCCTTGTTAGTTTATATTCACTGTCTGTCTTTTGTTGTCTTTCTAAAGAGACATGACCAGAAGCCAAAGGATTGAGTTAATATTACACCATCCCTTGAAAGCAGAAGTAACACTGTCTCTAAAAAATATAAGCCCCAGAACATAAGTGCTATATGTGTGTCTATGTGTGACACACATAGACAAAAAATTAACCATCTCTCAAGATAACTGTTCACATTGATTCCTTCCCCGCTTCTCCTCTATACCCCTTTCTTACATCTTAGCTTTCCATTACCAAGGATCCCAGTAGCTTTTATGGTATTAATTTCCACTCTATGCAAACATCTCTGGGACATATTGCTCCATGTTAAGTACAACTGCTTTCTGAGAAGAACTGACAAAACAACTGCTGCTGATTTTCCTTTATTCAAATCAAGTTTATCTTTTTTATCTTCTTATCAACATCTATACAGTATGTTTTGAAAGCTTTTGCATCGATAGCAATTTTAAGAATGTCCTTGACATTAATGACTTCTATATTTGATCTCAGATCACATTCTCTTCTGAAGAAAGTGTATAATGCTCTAAGGCTGAGTTGGCATAAACATTGCAGAATCACAGGTAAATGACACCTGGAATGCGGCATACATTCAATAAATACTTATTGAATTGAATTGGAAAGACAGTTTGTGTTTTAATAGATGTGATTTGCATGGTTCCTCAGGCTGGTGGTTGAGCAAATGAAGTGAGAACCTCAGAGAGCCAAGACCTATACCTTATTGCTAACGACTTTGGAGTTTGTGATCAGGAGCTCAGATCAAGCCAGTTTTGGCCCTAATTTGCTATGTGAACACAAGTAAGTTACCTGAACTCTTTGCAACTCAAAGTCAAACTGACTACAAGTTGAGAAGAGAAAGAAGAGTATATAATTTAGAATTTTCTGGTCCTAATAAGACATGTCGAGTTCTTAGCATAGTGTTACAAACAGTATTGCAAGCTCTTGAAGAATCCTGGCTATTTGTAGATGCTAGATTGAGGAGCTGAATTTTTTTTATCAAGAAAGACTTCTATCAAAGGCTTCTCTTAGAAAGGATGGTAAAATAATGAGAACAGAGGTAATTGACCAAGGATTATGGATTATTCAACTAATTATAAAGTACTCTGATGAACTTCTTTTTTTAAAGCAAATATTTGTATGTGACATGAGTGTGAGAAAAATACGTAGGCAAAAATGAACAAAACTTTGCATTAGACATTAGAGACTAAAAGAAGCTAAAAATGCACATTACTGGCCGGGCGCGGTGGCTCACGCCTGTAATCCCAGCACTTTGGGAGGCCGAGGCGGGTGGATCATGAGGTCAGGAGATCGAGACCATCCTGGCTAACAAGGTGAAACCCCGTCTCTACTAAAAATACAAAAAATTAGCCGGGCGCTGTGGCGGGCACCTGTAGTCCCAGCTACTCGGGAGGCTGAGGCAGGAGAATGGCGTGAACCCGGGAAGCGGAGCTTGCAGTGAGCCGAGATTGCGCCACTGCAGTCCGCAGTCCGGCCTGGGCGACAGAGCGAGACTCCGTCTCAAAAAAAAAAAAAAAAAAAAAAAAAAAAATGCACATTACTAAGGGAAAAAGAAAAAATACATAACAAAGTAGCAAAATGCCCGTATCACAGAGAAAATTAAGAAATCTATGAAATAGTTGCTGTTGGGCAGAAAGAAATGTGTAATAAATTCTAGATACCAAGAAAGAATGTTAAAGACAGAGAAATCTGGAGTAATTTGCGTTGAGTGGAGGTGTCAAGGACATCTCACAGGATAGAAGTTTTGGAACCAGAAGCATTACATAGATTGGTAGGGAAAAAAAAATCAAAGGGTATCTGGGAGGTTTGTAAACATACCAGCCATGTTTACTGCGGAAGTAGGTTGTTTAAGAGATCGATAAGGGAGATCCCTTGGCCTGGAATTCCATGCTTACATAGTTGCTGCTTTCATAAACCAAACATTGTGGGCAGTAAAGGGATGCAATTTGAAGTCGTGATTTGGTCAGTGTGGTAGGCAGAATACTGGCTCCCCAAAAGAATGCTCGCATTGTCATCTCCAGAACCTGTGACTGTGTTATGTTACACGACAAGGAGGGATTAAGGTCGCAGATGGAATTAGGTTTGCTAATCAGCTCACCCTAAAATTAGATTATTTGGGGTTATCTGATGGGCCCAATGTAATCATAAGGGAAAAAAGAGGCAGAAAAATTATTGTCAGATAGATATGATTTAAGAAAGTGCTGGGTTTGAAGACAGAAAAGAGCAGTGAGCGAAGGAATGGTGAGTAGCCATAGAAGCTGGGAAGGGCAAAAAAACATTTTCTCCTAGACTTTCCAGAAAGAAATGCCGCTCTGCCAACATCTTGATTTTAGCCCACTGATACCTGTATCAGATTTCTGACTTGCAGTCTATAAGATAGTACATTTCTGTTGTTTTCAGCCACTGAGGGTGTGGCAATTTGTTAACAGTAGCAATAACAAACGAATACAGCCCACCTTTCTTGTTCCAAGAGAGTGAATGCAGGAAGCCCACACCATTGGAACATAGTTGTAGCAAAACACCTAGATGGGATTTAAAAATAAAGGAGGTGGAATTAGAGCAGAGAGGATCCTTTTTTTTTTTTTTTTTTTTTTTTTTTTTTTTTTGAGACGGAGTCTCGCTCTGTCGCCCAGGCTGGAGTGCAGTGGCGCGATCTCGGCTCACTGCAAGCTCTGCCTTCCAGGTTCACGCCATTCTCCTGCCTCAGCCTCCCAAGTAGCTGGGACTACAGGCGCCCGCCACCACGCTCAGCTAATTTTTTGTATTTTTAGTAGAGACAGGGTTTCACCATGTTAGCCAGGATGTTCTCGATCTCCTGACCTCGTGATCCGCCAGCCTCGGCCTCCCAAAGTGGAGAGGATCCATTTTAATTGCTAAGAGTTGAAGTACCTTCTGTCCTCCTAAGAGCACCCCAGAATAGGCTTAACCATCCTCAAGGATAGGCTTTCAGGGGATGCGCTGTCAGCCCCTCTCATTACGTGCTCATGGTGACCTGTGAGTTCAAGAATCGGGGCAGATAATTTTGACAAAACGCAACCAGAGAGGCTGACCCTGGATGTCCCAAGAAGGAGGACTTATATATAGTAACAACAGCAGTAGGAGGACGCAGTCATCAAATGCATAGAATTTGCAAATTGTGGGGGATAGGAATGTAGCCCAGTCAGAAAGGCAAAGGGAACAAAGATTGCAGAATTGGGCCTTTCTTCTTTCCAGTGGAAAGAGCTCAGCCACCGTGTGTAGAAATTTTGGAAGGAAAAAAAGTAAAAGATTTAGGTTGGATTAAGTTTTAGTAAGAGAAATAAATTGACCAGCTAGAGTCTATTAAAATGCCTGCTCTGATTTACTTCTGGGGTTTATATACCAGCTTCTTTTCTCACAAACTCAGGGCTTTATTCTCTTAAAGCCCAGAGAGATTAATCTGTAAAGCAGAAATAACAAAAGGACCTATGTTATAAACTTATTGTGAGAATGGTACCTTGTCAGGCACTGAGCATAGTGTCTAGCACAAGATAAACTATTATGATTGTTGCTATTAGATCTAGCTAAAAACTCTCATGAATACACTAGACAAGAGTGATTCATAGTTAAAATTCTATTTGCATTTTAGAGCTTTTCATAGCTATATGACCCCCTCAGACTAGAACAATGTTTCTTAAACTTTAGTGTGCACTAGAAACACTGGAGGGCATGTTTAAACAGATGGCTGAGCCCTACCTTCAGAGTGGAGGGGACTAAGAATTTTTCTGGTTTTTTTTTTTTTTTTTTTTTTTTTTTTTTTTTTTTTAAGACAGAGTCTCACTCTCTCACCCAGACTGGAGTGCAGTGGCCCCATCTCGGCCAACCACAATCTCTACCTTCCAGGCTCAAGGGATTCTCCTGCCTCAGCCTCCTGAGTAGCTGGGATTACAGGCGTGTGTCACTACTGCCCAGCTAATTTTTGTATTTTTATAGAGATGGGGTTTCACCATGTTGGCCAGGCTGGTCTCGAACTCCTGACCTTAAATGATCCACCCACCTTGGCCTCCCAAAGTGTTGCGATTACAGGCGTGAGTCACCATGCCCAGCCAAGAATTTATACTTCTAACATGTGTCAAGATGATGCAACTAGTTCAGAGACTACACTTTGTGAAATGCTGGCCTAGGTGATACAACTTAACCTGAATTTTCATGATAGATCACCTTATATTACAGTATCCTCAAATAAGCCCTTTTAGTTTCAGATCCAGTAGGAGATGATTTCATGTTTCATTGGAAAACCATATACAAGAAGGGAGATAAGAGTCCACATGATTACTTCCAATCAATGGGGTTAGAGAAAGTCGTTATATTTCCAGGCTAAATAATTTAAGAGCCAACGAATAACCCTTCAGCTTTCACCTTCTCTGCTCAGTGTCAAAGAAGCAATCATGGAGATCTGATCTTGAGTTCCAAATGGTTCACTTAGCAGAGGACGGAATGTCATCAGCCTGGGTCTTGACCAGAGCCCCTCTACAAGCCCAAATAAACATATAATGTGAGGAGGAATCAAGCTTTTATTGAGTGAAGGGTTTCTTTTTTCCCTTAGGATAACTTAGCCTCTTCTGACTAATATGGATTCCAAGTTAGGACTCATAAATGGGCATTAGAAGACTACTGCTCTTGCTGTTACTAAGCTGGTCATGAACCAAGATTTGAACCATGCATTTCATCACTCACTACATATCAAGAAAGTGGTATTAAGGTAATCCTTCGCCTCCCAATCTCAGTGCTGGCTACCTAGCAGAACCGCACACATGCTTTTTAGATACACAATACATTTGCCTTTCTCTTTGTCTTCTTCCCTTCACTTTTCTTCTTCATTCTCTTGGGAACTTTTCAGTCTTGTCTGCATAAAGAAGAATGGAGAGACGTTTGAGGAGGACAGAGACAAAAGATTGAATGGCCTTGGAAAGACACTGAAAAAGTATTTGCCTGGATTCAATAGCAACGCTGGTCCTTGGCACTGAATCCTAACAACCTCCGTACTAGTCGGCACAGGCTGCCACAATAAAATACTACAGGCTGGCTGGCTTAAACAACAGAATTTAATTTTCTTGCTGTTCCGGAAGCTGGAAGTTTGAAATCAGGGTGCCAGCACAGTTGGGATCTGGTGTGGGTGTTCTTTCTGGCTTACAGGCAGTACCTTCTTGCTGTGTAACTCAAATGGTGGAGTGAGCAGAGGAGGGAGGAGAAAGCAAGCTCTTTGGTGTCCCCTATGGGGCTACTAATCTCCTCAAGAAGGCCCCACTCTCACAACCTTGTCAAAACTGCGTCTCCAAATGACATTGCATGGGCAGTTAGGACTTATAAACATATAAATATGGGGGATGTGTATCAACCCATAGCAACTTTTCTATTATAAACAGCATGAGGATTTCCTAGTCTTACCACCAGAAGTTCCTCAAACCCATCTCAAATTTATGTCACACAAATATATGCAATACAGTAGTTTCCCCTTGCCCACAGTTTTCCCTTATGTGGTTTTAGTTACCCCGGTTCAACCACGTTCTGAAAACATTAAATGGAAAATCCCAGAAATAAGCAATTCAGACGTTTTAAATTGTGCACCATTCTGAGTATAGCCATGAAATCTTGCACTGTCCTGCTCCCCACCCCAGACACAAATCATCTCTTTGTCCAACATATCCATGCCATACCCACCCATTAGACATTTAGTAGCCATCTTGCCTATCAGAGCAATTGTCGTGGTATCATTCCATTTTAGTATTAGTTAATGTTGTCAATATCTTACTATGCCTATTTTATAAATTAAACTTTATCATAGGTATGCATGTATAGAAAAAAACATAGGGTAGACAGCATTCAGTACTAGTTCTTGTTTCAGGCATCCACTAGGTATCTTAGAATGCATCCCCGATGAATAAGAGGGTACTATTGTATATGTTTTCCACAGTCAATTCAGGGCAAAAGACAAAAAGAAAACCAGAGAAAAGGCAGTTATTACAAGCTTTTGCTTAAATATTTATAAAAATAAACATTTGAAGCTTGGTGTATTGGTTTGTGTGACAGAGTAACTGCCATGTGAGAAGGTAACAATTATAATGTGCATTTCTTAGAAGTACAGTATTCTGTATGCTATACACACACACAACACACACATATACACACAACACACACAATACACACACACATATACACACAACACACACATATACACACAACACACACAATACACACACACAATACACACACACAATACACACACACACAGTTCCATGACCTTTTATCCTCATAATTTGCTTCAATAAACAGAGAGCTAGAAATCCTGGCACAAAATATTCACAATCTTTAGAACAGTCTCCTTCTCCTAATCCAACAAGCTCCTGTTCCGATCCTTCCTTAGAAACAAAAACAAAAACCAATGTCTGTCAAGTTATTTTCCCGAAGAAGCCTCCCTTTCAGTAGCTGGATGAAGGTGCAGAGTCGCAACTAATCAAAATCCCTTTATGTAGTGTTTTTCATTCTGTGCCTTGCATGGTTTCACTTTCTCTTTTTCTTAATGCCATGTCTGCTTTCTTCTCTAGATTGTAATTTGCTTGAGGGCAGAGGCTGCACTTTCCCTTTGTTGAGCACAAGTATTTTGAAAGAGCCTGCAGGATTGTGAGCACTCAGAAGAATTTTGTTGATGATAGTGATGTTTCTGAAAATGTCTAAGAAAAAAGCAGATACCTCTGGCCTGCCGTGACCTTCATGTGCTTAATCTAAAGTGTCTTTTTTTTTTCCTTTCATAAACAATAATGCACCTAGGCAGCACATATGCAAGAAAGTGAGTCAGAAGAGCAATTCAGTTTTCCAGTGCCCTTATGTGACTCCTTCAATGCCTTAGGAATCGGCTTGAGGATTTATTTGAAGCATACCAGCCATGCGGTTTCTAGACTCCATGAGCACAAGATATGTTTCCACGCCCTCCTCCTCAATCCTCACATTCTTAATGCTTAAAGTGTGCCCTCGCGACTTTTCTGTTAGTTAAGAGATGTACAACATAGGGGCAAAAATCAATCTTAATTAAGGCGGACTCTGGAATTATGATCGAAGGAGGTACATTAGCCCAGTGCTTCCAGCCCCCCATACACTGCTGTTATTGATGTTTGGACAGATGGGGAAAGTGAAACAGGAGTCAATACTTCGATCTACTGTGTTCTCTAAGGATCTGAATTTTTAACACATCCATAATGAGTGCTGGTGGTGGTTAATAAATACACGGCAGCCCCTAAGAGTGGCTCTGTGTGTAGAAGGTACCAACAAAGTCCCTGAAGCTTCTGGGTGGTAGAAGAAAGTAGGCTTAGCCTAGAAGAATTGAGATATAAATGTGGCTTTTCCCAATGACATCATGTCTGGGAAGCCCTTTTGCCAAAGCAATCAGGGCTACTCACATGACCTTAGGCAGTTTGCTCAAGGAAAAAGGCAATTCGGTAAAATTATTCATTTTGATATGTAAGAATTCAGTTACTTCTCTTGCTTATATGTGGCAGATAGATTTTGTCCCGACCAACATTCTCTCCTCTCCTTATCTGGAAAGCCCCATAATGCCTCCTTAGTATTAATTCTACCTCAAGTCCCCAAATTCCTGGTTGTTGTTAATTGGCTTATGAGAGTCATCTAACCTAAGAGGACCAATCAAATTCTCTCTCTGACAAACTGTTATTAAGGTTCAAGAAGCCTAGTTGTTCTTCATAATATGAGTGAATGGAAAAGACATTTCATTTTGGGGGTGTGATGGTTAATACTAAGTGTCAACTTGATTGGATCGAAGGATGTAAAGTATTGATCCTGGGTGTGTCTGTGAGGGTGTTGCCAAAGGAGATGAACATTTGACTCAGTGCTCTGGGAAAGGCAGACCCACCCCTAATCTGGGTGGGCATCATTTAATCAGCTGCCAGCAAGACTAGAATATAAAGCAGGCAGAAAAACATGAAAAGACTAGGCTGGCCTAGCCTCCCAGCCTACATCTTTCTCCCAGTCTCGATGCTTCCTGCCCTTGAACATTGGAACCCAAGTTTTTCAGTTTTGGGTCTCAGACTGGCTCTCTTTGTTCCTTGGCTTACAGATGGCCTATTGTGGGACTGTCTGTTTATGTGAGTTAATACTTAATAAACTCATATATTTATATCTTATTAGTTCTGTACCTCTAGAGAACCATAATACAGAGGAGACTAAGGTGGTCATTTTGGGGTACCTATCTTCTTGCCTCTTTTGCTTGAGATGCAAAGACAGCAGGCTGAAGAGAGGAAAAAAGGAAATAGATGTGTCCAGTGTCACAGAAACCAAGGAATTTTTAACAGTGAGAGATGGAGAGAATCAGTCATGAAACTGACAACTGCTCATTTGAGCCCCAGCTTCCCTTTCCAATCTTTAGTTTCATTAATACTTCCATATCCTTTTCATAAATTATTTTTTTAAGCCAATGATTCTTGGAGCTCAAATATTCTTGAGTTCACTGCTTCCTTTGTCAAAAATTTGCCATACTTTCAGCAGTGTACTAGGTTCTGTGCTGCTATATGGGACATGGAGATAGAAAAGACATGTTTTCTGCCTCAAGTAGATCACTATGTAGTTGGTGGACAAGATAGTAAAGAAACAAGTCATAATGGTATATTCTAAGTGGAAGGAAAGGACCAATACAAGGCCTGAAGGTAGCTTAGAAATGGAGAGATGGACAATTGGCAAAGAGATGTGGAGAGGGAAGTAGTATCTGAGACAGCTGTTGAATGGTCAATACAGGTTTTCTAAGTGGATAAGGAGGCTAAGAGCATTCTTGGTAGAAGGAATAGAAGATATATACAAACAAAAAGGCCTCAGAAGATAGCATGTGTATTTGAAAAAAACAATACATTTCCTGGCCTTGGTGCACATAAAATGTCACTCAGTGGAAAAAAGCAAAGAAGGGAAGAAGGGTCAGATCCCATCCCATTATAAAAAGCTTGGACTCAGGTTGTATTTTAATAGATAATTTATGAACAGATGGATAAATGTACACTCTTTGTTAAGAAAAGTTCCCCCGAATGATAGCGTCTCAAATAATAACCTCAGGCCAGTGAAAGAGGCTGATGAATAAGAATGGCTTCAGAAATCTTTAAATAACCAGATGCTTCTCAAGACATTCTGTAGATTGTTAGAACTCCATGGCTTGCACCATCTGGCTGTGCGTCACTTCTAGTACACATGAATTTGGCAAGGATATGTCCTCTCTTCTCTTGGCTTATGGTCAGCCTAAGAATGCCCATTTATCTTTGCTTTTGACTCAACCTCAATAGGCCTCTGGAAAAGGGAGAGATTCTGCATGTGGGGAGTAATCTGGTTTGGCTGGAGAGACTGAATCCATCTGTCCATGACAAACACTTTCCCAGTTCTCTCATAGAACATTGATTATGCCAAGAAAATTGAGAAATCTTTTAAGAGGAAGTTATTGTAGAAAGAGCTATAGATCATAGAACATGTAGAGATGATTAATGCTTTGTATTATTATAGCCTGGGCAATAAAGTGAGACTCCGTTTCTACAAAAAATAAATATGTAAAGTAGCCAGGTGTATTGGCACATGCCTATAGTCCCAGCTACTGGGGAGGCTGAGGGAGGAGGATCACTTGAGCCTGGGAGGTAGAGGCTGCAGTAAGTCATGATCAAGCCGATACACTACAGCCTGGGTAACAGAACGAGACCCTGTCTCAAAAATTAATAATAAAAATTTGTGTTATTATTACAAATTATAATAATGACTAACTTGCTATTGAGCACTTATTAGGTATCAGGTAACATGCTAAAAGCTCTATGTCCATTTTTAAATTTTATCTTTTCAAAAATTCTACGAGGGCTATGCAATTATTGAGCATATTCTACAGATGAGAAATATAAGGACCAAAAATGTTAAGTAACTAAACTGAGTTTGTACAACCAAGAAGTGTTAGGAACTATACACATATTCTCTCTAATTTTCACAATATTAAATTTCTTAATATATCAATTATTATTTTACTAGTGTGAAAAACTAGACTCTAACTACTAAGTAATAGCTATCATTTACTAAAAGATCTCTTTGATGTTTTATGTCCACTAGTTTATTTAATTATCACAAATACACTATGAAATTGAAATTGATACTATTGTTGTTTCCACAGACTAAAAATAGAAACCGAAGAACCTGCCAATAATAATTAGCACTTCAAATAGGCAAAATAATGCTCCCCTACCCAAAAATCTTCACATTCTAATTCCCAGAACATGTGAATATATTAGGATACCTGGCAAAGAAGAATTACAGTTGCAGATGAAATTAGGGTTGCTAATCAGGTAACTTTTTTTTTTTTTTTTTTTTTTCAAGATGCAGTCTTGCTATGTCACCCAGGCTGGAGTGCAGTGGCACGATCTCAGCTCACTGCAACTTCTGTCTCCTGGGTTCAAGTGATTGTCCTCTCCCAGTCTCCCAAGCAGCTGGGATTATAGGCATGTGCCATCATGCCTGGCTAAATTTTTTTTTTTGTATTTTTAGTAGAGACAGGGTTTCGCCATATTGGCCAGGCTGGTCTCAAACTCCTGACCTCAGGTGATCCTCCCGCCTTGGCCTCCGAAGGCGCTGGGATAACAGGCGTGAGCCACCATGCCCAGTAACTTTCAAGGAGCTAGACTAGCCTGAATTATCGAGATGTGTCTAATGTAATCCTGAGTGTTCTTAAAATGGAAAGAGAACTCTTAACAAGAGAACTGAAGAGCTCCTCTCATGAGCAGGACTCGGTCTTAAACTGTTCAACTTGAAGATGGAAGAAGAAGGCCATGAGAAAATGAAGATGGGTGGTTTATAGAAGCTGGAGAAGGCAAAACATGAATTCTTCCCTAAAGCCCCCCAGAAGGAAAGCACTGTGCCAAAACCTCGATCTCACCCTGTAAGATCCACATCAAACTCCTGCTCTTAAGAACTGTAAGATAATAAATATTATGGTGTTTTAGGCCAAAAATTTGTGGCAAATTCTCACAGCTAGCATATAAAACTAATACAGCACTTCCAACCATTTTGTCATTTAGTTTTTATATCAGCTGACAAAGTTAACAGTATTATTGGCCAGACACCATGGCTCACACCTGTAATCCCAGCAATTTGGGAGTCCGAGGTGTGTGCATCACTTGAGGCTGGGAGTTTGAGACCAGACTGGCTAGCAAGGTGAAACTCCATCTCTATTAAAAAATATAGAAGTTAACCGGGCATGGAGGTGCATGTCTGTAGTCTCAGCTATTTTGGAGGCTGAGGTGGGAGGATTGCTTGAGCCCTGGAGACGGAGATTGCCATGAGCCAAGATCGCACCACTGCACTTCAGCCTGGGCAACAGAGGGAGACTCTGTCTCAAAAAAAGAAAAAAAAACAAAAAGTTAACATTATTATTTTCATTTCACAATACAGCAATTGAGACTTGGATTTTTTAGTTAACTTTTCCAGAGACATTTACCTAGTAAACAGGAAACTGCTCTCTCTGATTCTGAAACTTCTGGGCACAAATCACATTTTGGGTGACCCAACAGTTCTATCAAGTTTCTAGGAGACCTTTTGGTTGATTTGTAATTCGGTGTTTCAAAGCAATAAATAATTCTCTAAATTCTTTAACTTTGCTCCCAACCATCTGTCACATTAAACTGTAGAACTGTTGCTGTTCCTCAGAGATATGCTAAGAGTAGGAAGGATTTAAAGATAAATGCCTATTAGATTACATCTTATCCTTTCCCCAAACCTCAACATTTTAGTAAAAAGTGTGGCATACTCCAATGCTGCCTACAAGAAATAAGGGATTAGAGGAAATTCCTCCAGAAGCCCACTCTGCTATAATGCCCCAAATTGTCTCCTCATGGCCAAGTGAATATCCAGGCCTTCCTAAATATCTAACTTATTCCACCTCTGAGTTATTACCTTAACAGTTGAGTCTCTACCACAAAGTGTTTAGTTTTGTACGTTGCAGAATAATTTAGGGGTGTGGAGAATAATAGGCCCAGAAAAGCAAACAACTAGCTTTTCTAGTATTCATTATTCAGATTTTTTTAAAAGCTACAAGATTATCTTCGGGGCATCTTTTTCCCTACAGAATATCAGACTTAGGATCCTTGTAAGACTGAGGAAGTGAATAAAAGTCTCCATTCACATGACTCATCTACCCTTGAGTAGAAAAAGGCCAAACATTGCTCCCTTTAGAAAGCAGTGTGTATATTTATTCTTCTATTGAACTGTACCCCCACTCATCCATCCATCATTCCATCCATTAAATGCATATTTTCTAAACCAACTTATGCAAGCCATTTCATTTTAACTTTGGAAATACAGATACAGAATATAAAATGCATGACAAAATTGTTGGAATATATAAGCTAACATTTGCCACAGTGCATTAGAAAATTGTTAGAAAACACAGAATAAATTTTGCTAAATATGGTAGTTGTTACATGTAGAATCAGTAAGGTATCCAATGGTAACTTAGAGAATAAAGTTTCCTTTGAATATAAAATCACAATAGCAGTGCATATAGAATCAGAATGCAAATAGTCACTTTACAGGAGTTGAACAAAAGCTCTCTGAATCGAATAAGAACAAAATTAATTACCATAAAAATGCCCTAGCTGTAGTTCTGAGTGAGATGGAGTAAGCACACTCCATCTTCTTTCTTCCACTGAGTACAGCAATAAATTTGGACAAGATGCATGGAGCAGATATTTGAGGTCTTAGAAAAGTAAATAGAAGCAGGCAAATTTGGAGTAGGAGGCCAGAATTCAAGATACCACTGAACTGGCAGTGAGGTTAGCATTTTTTGTCCTCAAGTGCCCTCTTGGTTAAATTCAATTCACTAGAATTGGGTACTAGGGAACAGATATAGGAAGCTCCAGGAAAAACCTTCTAGTTCTATCTTAGAGAGTGAGAAAGTGAGCATTTAATTCTCATAGGGAATGTGATAATTCATCGATTTTTTTGGTTTCTTTTCTCTGTTCTCCTTTGCCCCAGGATCCAAGCAATACCATAGTGGTAGCAGCACTCAGCAGTAACAGAAGCTTGCAGCAGCCAAACTCCTGAGGGTAAGGAATCTTCTTACCCAGTTGGTGGAGCTGTGGCTCCAAGAGGGTGGGGCAATCATTTCCTAACAGGGAACAGTAATTTAAATTACTGCAGATTACTCATCAGAAACCATAGAAGCCCCACATGAAGAAAGTGGCACATTTTCTAAATAATGGAAAGGTCCCTTATTTCAAAATGCTATACTCAGTGACAATATCCTTAAGAAATGAAAGTGAAATAAAGTTATTCTAAGATAAAGAAAAATTTAGAGTTCTAGCCAACAGACCTCCTATAAAGGATTTCCAGAGGAATTTTATCAGACAGAAAGGAAATAATACTAGAAGAAATTTTTGAAAACAGGAATGAAGGAACAGCAACCAAGATGATAAATATGTCAGTAAATACAACACACTAATTTTCTCATCTTGATTTCTTTAGACTATGTTTGACAATTTAAATTTAAATCATTGCATGTAGATGTAACATATAAGATGTATGTAGATGTAACATATAAGAAAACTGTAAGATAAAGATGATAGAGTAAAGGACCTACATGGTAGTAAGATTTTTATATTCCAGTTGAAGTGGTAAAATATTGACTAAGTAGATTGCAAAAAGTCAAGTAGGTATGTTACTGCCTCTAGAGAAAAAAAAAACAAAGAAAACTATATGCACATTATACTTTTAAATACTTTTAAATACAATATACAGATTAAAATGGAACCATATAATTTTGAAAAAACCTACAAGAAAATAAAAAAGGGAAAACAGAGGAACAAAAATCAGAGCAAATAAACAAAAAGCAGATAATGTGATAGTAGAACTAAATTAAAACTTAATAATCACAAATGTGAAAAAAAAGGAACACTTTTACACTGCTGGTGGGAGCGTAAATTAGTTCAACCATTGTGGAAGACAGTGTGGCAATTCCTCAAAGACCTAGAGGCAGAAGTACTATTTGGCCCAGCAATCCCATTACTGGGTATCTACCCAAAGGAATATAAATCATTCTATTATAAAGATACATACATGAGTATGTTCATTGCAGCACTATTAACAATAGCAAAGATATGGAATCAATCTAAATGCCCATCAATGATAGACTGAATAAAGAAAATGTGGTACATATACACCATGGAATAATATGCAGCCATAAAAAAAAAGATCGTGTATTTTGCAGGGGCATAGATGGAGTTGGAGTTGGGAGAAGGGAGAGCATCAGGAAAAACAACTAATGGATGCTGGGCTTAATAACCTAGGTGATGATAGAAGATGGCCAAATAGGAACAGCTCTGGTCTGCAGCTCCCAGCGTGATCGAAGCAGAAGACAAGTGATTTCTGCATTTCCAACTGAGGTACGTGGTCCATCTCATTGGGACTGGTTGGACAGTGTGTGCAGCCCACGGAGGGCGAGCCGAAGCGAGGCCAGGCATTGCCTTACCCGGGAAGCACAAGGGGTCAAAACCCTCAAAATAAGAGCTATTTATGACAAACCCACAGCCAATATCATACTGAATGGGCAAAAACTGGAAGCATTCCCTTTGAAAACTGGCACAATACAGGGATGCCCTCTCTCACCACTCCTATTCAACATAGTGTTGGAAGTTCTGGCCAGGGCAATCAGGCAAGAGAATGAAATAAAGGGTATTCAAATCGGAAAAGAGGAAGTCAAATTGTCCCTGTTTGCAGATGACACAATTGTATATTTAGAAAACCCCATCGTCTCAGCCCAAAATCTCCTTAAGCTGATAAGCAACTTCAGCAAAGTCTCAGGACACAAAATCAATATGCGAAAATCACAAGCATTCCTATACACCAATAATAGACAAACAGAGAGCCAAATCATGAGTGAACTCCCATTCACAATTGCTACAAAGGGAATAAAATACCTAGGAATACAACTTACAAGGGATGTGAAGGACCTCTTCAAGGAGAACTATAAACTACTGCTCAATGAAATAAAAGAGGACACAAAGAAATGGAAGAATATTCCATACTCATGGATAGGAAGAATCAATATCGTGAAAATGGCCATACTGCCCAAGGTAATTTATAGATTCAATGCCATCCCCATCAAGCTACCAATGATTTTCTTCACAGAATTGGAAAAAACTACTTTAAAGTTCATATGGAACCAAAAGAGAGCCCACATTGCCAAGTCAATCCTAAGCCAAAAGAACAAAGCTGGAGGCATCACACTAGCTGACTTCAAATTATACTACAAGGCTACAGTAACCAAAACAGCATGGTACTGGTACCAAAACAGAGATATAGACCAATGGAACAGAACAGAGGCCACAGAAATAACACCACACATCTACAACCATCTGATCTTTGACAAACCTGACAAAAACAAGAAATGGGGAAAGGATTCCATATTTAATAAATGGTGCTGGGAGAACTGGCTAGCTATATGTAGAAAGCTGAAACTGGATCCCTTCCTTACATGTTATACAAAAATTAATTCAAGATGGATTAAAGACTTAAATGTTATACCTAAACCCATAAAAAACCCTAGAAGAAAACCTAGGCAATACCATTCAGGACATAGGCATGGGCAAGGACTTCACGACTAAAACACCGACAGCAATGGCAACAAAAGCCAAAATTAATAAATGGGATCTAATTAAACTAAAGAGCTTCTGCACAGCAAAAGAAACTACCATCACAGTGAACAGGCAACCTACAGAATGGGAGAAAATGTTTGCAATCTACCCATCTGGCAAAGGGCTAATATCCAGAATCTACAAAGAACTTAAACAAACTTACAAGAAACAAACAACCCCATCAAAAAGTGGGCAAAGGATATGAACAGACACTTCTGAAAAGAAGACATTTATGCAGCCAACAGACACATGAAAAAATGCTCATCATCACTGGTCATCAGAGAAATGCAAATCAAAACCACAATGAGAGACCATTTCACATTAGTTAGAATGGCGATCATTAAAAAGTCAGGAAACAACAGATGGTGGAGAGGATATGGAGAAATAGGAACGCTTTTACACTGTTGGTGGGAGCATAAACTAGTTCAACCATTGTGGAAGACAGTATGGCAATTCCTCAAGGATCCAGAACTAGAAATACCATTTGACCCAGCGATCCCATTACTGGGTATATACCCAAAGGATTATATATCATACGACTATAAAGGCACATGTACACGTACGTTTATCGTGGCACTATTCACAATAGCAAAGACTTGGAACCAACCCAAATGTCCATCAATGATAGACTGAATTAAGAAAATGTGGCACATATACACCATGGAATACTATCAGCCATAAAAATGGATGAGTTCATATCCTTTGCAGGGACATGGATGAAGCTGGAAACCATCATTCTCAGCAAACTATCACAAGGACAGAAAACCAAACACCGCATGTTCTCACTCACGAGTGGGAAATGAACAATGAAAACACTTGGACACAGGGCAGGGAACATCACATACTGGGGCCTATCATGGGGTTGGGGGCAGGGGGAGTGATAGCATTAGGAGAAATACCTAATATAAATGATGAGTTAATGGGTGCAGCAAACCAACATGGCACATGTATGCCTATGTAAAAAACCTGCACGTTGTGCACATGTACCCTAGAACTTAAAGTATATATACATACAAAATAACCTAGGT
The DNA here is from genome assembly GCF_000001405.40 of Homo sapiens. Taxonomy (NCBI): domain Eukaryota; kingdom Metazoa; phylum Chordata; class Mammalia; order Primates; family Hominidae; genus Homo; species Homo sapiens. The sequence continues at coordinate 165,613,154 of NC_000005.10, read as the reverse complement.
GATGGGCTGATCTATGCAGCAAACTACCATAGCACACATTTACCTATGTAACAAACCTACACCTCCTGCACATGTACCCCAGAACTTAAAATAAAAGTTGAAGGAAAAAAAATCATAAATGCAACTGCCCCAACCATACCAATTAAAAGACAGATATTGTCAGCATGGATTAAAAATTATATAGACCATCCACATGTTTTGTCAAAAAACTCAGTCCACCTGTAGTGACATAAGTAGAATAAAGTAAACAAATGAAAAAAGATATACCATATACTAATATACTACTTTTAAAAAGCAGAGGTGTCTATACTAATAGCAGACAAAGTTGACTTCAAAGCAAAAATTATCAGAAACGAAGGTGGACCTTACATTGTGCTAAAATGGTAAAAACACCAGGAAGTCATAAGTCATAACATTCTTAAATGTATATACACCTAACAAAGAGTGTTAAAATACATGAAGCAAAAACTAAAAAGAAGTACTGCAAGAAGAAAGAAATAAACTCAATTTATAGTTGTAAACTTCATCATACCCTCTCAGTAAAAAATACAATGAGTAGACAGAAATTCAACAATGCATAGAACTGAGAAAAACTATAAGCTGCCTGGATCTAATCGACATTTGTAGAACACTTCACTAAGCAAGAAGAAAGTACACATGCTTTTGAAGCATTCATGGAACATTCACCAAGACAGATCATACCTTAGGTATAAGAAATAAAAATACAAAACCTGAAATTATACAAAATATGTTCTCTGATCATTATGGAATTAAACTACTAATAACCAAAAGAAAGTAGAAAAACTCCAAATATTTGGAAGTTAACACACATTAGATAATCCATGGGTCAAAGAGAAAGACACAAGAGAGATTCAAAAGTATTTTGAACTGAATGAGAATATAAATTTGACAAATCAAAATCTGTGAGATGCAGCTAAAGCAGTGCTAGGAGAGAAACTTATCGTATGAAGTATTTATATTAGAAAAGATAAAGGTTCTCAAATTAACAATGTAATTTTCTTTTTTTTTTAAAGAAATTTAAACATTTTATTTAAAATTAGATTTACCCACGTGGTTACCATTGCTAACTTCTTCTTTTTTGCAGATCCATACTTTCATTTGGTATCATTTTACATTTTCCTGAAGGAATTTTTCTAATAGTTTTAAAGGTGCAGGTCCTGTGGTGATGAATGCTTTCATCTGTAGTTTATTTGAGAAAGTTTTTATTTTGCCTCCGTTTGTAGAAGGTGTTTTTGCCACATATAGAATTATACACTTAACTTCTTTTCTTTCAGTACTCTAAATATATTACTTCCACATCTTCTGGCACCAGCTGTTTCTCATGAGAAATCTGTCTTCCTTATCTTTGTTTCTCTACATGTAACATGTCTTTTATCTTTGGCGGCTTTTTTCCCCCTTATTACATAAATTCTTTTTTTTTAATTTTATTATTTTTATACTTTAAGTTTTAGGGTACATGTGCACAACGTGCAGGTTTGTTATATATGTGTACATATTTTCTAGCTTAAAAACTTGGTACAAGCAAAATAAACTGAAAGCAAACAAAAAGAGAAATAATAAATATAAGAACATAAATGAAGGAAATTGAAAGGAAAAAGCCATAGAGAAAGTTAAAGGAACAAAAACTTGTTATTTAAAAAGATTAATAAAATTATTAATAATAAACTTCTTACAAAGCTGACAAAATAGAGAAGACAAACCAGAAGCTACTGACACTCACTCAAGATGAAATAGAAAATAAGAATAGTCCAACTACTCAAGAAATGGAATCTATAGTTAAAAACATTCTGAAAAAAATTTTCCAGGCTTAGAGGGCTTCACTGGGGAATTCTGCCAAACATATAAGAATAAATTGTACCAATTCTGTATAATATTTTCCAAGTAATAGAAGAGGAAAGAATTTATTCTGAGATTATATGATGGGCTATTGACCTTTAGGACTGTATTGAAATCAAGGACTTGTGTCGTAGCACAAACACATCTTCATAGTAGTCAAATAAAAAGTATGAAGACCCAATGATAGAAGTATTTCAATTATGATTGAAGTTTGGCTGGTTTTACTATCATCTAAGTTAGCAAAAATGTGTATATTCCACCAACTTATAAATGCAAACAATGTAATATATATTTTTTTGTTTTATAGGAGAGAAGAGTGGATGGCATTATCGTTTGCCTATTTAACTCCCTTATTTACCTTTGTTTTTACTAAAGAAAACCCATGCTTTCCAAGGATATTAGACCCAATTTATTTTATTAATGTAAGCCTCATCCCCTTGTCAAATGATTAATTTAGGCATAGGTTTGACACAAGACTTGCCACAGAGACATGAGAAGATATCAACTGGAAGACTTCATACAATGATTTTCTTTCTCCTTTTTAAAAATGGAGCACAAGACAAGAACAGTTCTACCTCATGTAGAATCTGACATGTACATGTGATGCCTTGGAAAGTGTCAGCCATCACTGGATTATGCACAGTGACACACTAAGAGCACAAGTCTGCAAGCTGAAGATGACAGGATGGAAATGTGGAAGAAAATTTGATAAAATTTTTGAACTATTTGATTAACCAATTCTGCAAACTTTCTGACTAAACTTTTTGGTATGTGAGATATAAATGCCCTATGATTTAGAAAGGTTTTGTTAGTTTTTTTTAATATTAGTTGGAGAATAAAATGCTTCAAATGATATGAGCAAACATTTTTATATTAACTTATCATCAGCAGTTTTCTAGATCTGGCATAAAGAAACTAAAAAATTTGACATCTTAACATTTTTGTATGGGTCCACATATCTATAAATCTATTATAAGACATGAACGAGGAAATGGAAACTAACAGAAAAAATACATATGTATATTATATATAGATATATAGGTATGCATACATATACATATATAATGGCATATTATACATGCCTTTATATTCCATGAAAAACATAGGTGATTTTTTTCAAGTGATAATACAATATGGGATAATAGAAAGGACTTTGTTCTGAAAATTAAGGAACCTAAAGTCTGTTTTTTTTTTCTTTCTTTCTTTACAAATGGCAGACTGCCACATGCAGCACCTCATTTGGATGTGTCTGGAGTCTTGGAAGCTTGACTACTCTATGTTCTCTTAGAATTGGATCTTGAGGCCCGTGCGGTGGCTCATGCCTATAATTCCAGCAGTCTGGGAGGCTGAGGAGGGTGGATCATTTGAGGTCAGGAGTTCAAGACCAGCCTGAAACCCCATCTCTCCTGAAGATACAAAAATTAGCTGTGCAGTGGTGGTGTTAGCCTGTAATCCAGCTACTCAGGAGGCTGAGGCAGGAGAATCATGTGAGCCTGGGAGGCGGAGGTTGCAATGAGCCGAGATCGGGCCACTGCACTCCAATCTGGGTGAGAGAGTGAGACCCTGTCTCCAAAAAAAAAAAAAAAAAAAAAAAAAAAGGAAAGAAAAAAGTAAAAGGAAAAAGGATCTTGAGAAATTGTCTGGAATTTCTAGCAGGTAAGTGCAGCTACTCTTCTATTCTTTACAGAAGACTGGTTCTTTTCTATAAGGGAAGGTCATCCTCTTGACCGAGTGCTCAGGTTCTGGAGGGGTGCGAGGAGGGAGGAAGGAAACACCAGTCTAGGCAACCAGATCAGCAGTTTCAACTCTGGTGAACAAAGAGGTGGCAGATAGTGCAGCCAAATCACCTTCGGATCCATTGAGGCACCTGAATTTTTGTCCTCACTTTGACATTAATTAATTGTATGAGCATTGGTAAATGATATAATATTTTTCTCCCTCAGTTAATGTTGCAATAAATTAAGAGGCTTGGATTATAGAATCTCGATGTCATTTTCTATCATATGAGAATATAAGTTTGAATTTATTTTAATTAACAACACCAAACAGTGAATGAAATCTGTTAACAGTGTGGTTCTTGCATGCTTTCTTTAAGGGATTTAAAGAGGAAAAAAGACTGGCATAGCACTACTACTGTGCGGTGAAAATGAGAAAAAAATTAAAAGACTAGTTTCAATTTCAAGGGATCTCAGATTTCTTAATGGTTTCAAATTATGAGGGATGTGTGAGATATATGTTAAAATAAGAAAGCTTCAAATTGCACCTCCCACAAACTTGAAAGGAAAAATTTAACATTTGTTATGATATTAGTTTCTTATTAAACTTGGAAGATACTTTCAAGGGATCACGATTGGATGCACCTTTAATAGTCTATTTTCTTCAGTTATTAAGTCAGTTTACTACATATAAAATTTGGGGAAGTAATTATTAGAAATCATAGACTCTAAATCTGACATATGCCTGTGGAAATTTACTATTAATTGACAATGAATTCAGATATAAATGAGGCATCTATCTAAATGTAAAGAGTTAGGAATTTACAGAACTGATTCCACCTGTACTTATTATCAGGCTTTTATTGAGTACCTGCTCTATGTCAGGCACACTTCTAGGCACACGCAATGCAGGAGCAATAAAAACTTCAGCCTCTGTGAAGCCAAGGTCTTATGCTGGCTAATGATGAATGTTGCAAAAATAAAAACATAAACCAACATAGGTGGGATTAGAGTGACAAAGCATGGATAGAGTAAGTTATATTAAAAGGAAGGTCAGAGTATGCCTCATTGAGAAGACAATATTTGAGCTTATACTTTAAAGGAGTGAGAGAGTTAGCCATGTAAATTTCTATGTGAACAGTGATCTAAGCAGAAAGAACTGCTAGTGCAAAATCCTAATCTGGGAGAATATCTGTCTTGTTTGCTGAATAGCAAAGACACCAGTACAACTGAAATGGAATAATCAAAGAACAGATTTGTAGATGATGTCAGAGAGGTAATGAGTGGCAGACTGTAAGGCTTTTATGCCATTATAATGAATTTAGCTTTTACTCTGAGTGAAATAGAGAGACACTGGAGGGCTTAGAGCAGAGGAAAGATAATATATACTTTATCACTAGATAAATGCAAATCAAAACCACAATGAGATACCACCTCCCACAAGTCAGAGGGCTATGATTAATAGCCCTTAATAATAATATTAAGGGATGTAAATAATAATAAGGACTATTAATAATATTGTTTAAGCAGATTTAGTTTTACATTTATATCTCTCATATATTTAGAATTTGTACTGTTAACGATGTGATGATGGCTCTATTTATATCTCCCATCTGCATGGAAACTTGACCATGAAATAAATAAGAATAAAATAATATTATTAAGAGCCCTTAATAGTCAAAAAATACCAGATGCTGGAGAGGTTGTGGAGAAAAGGGAACACTTATACACTGTTGGTAGGAGTGTAAATTAGTTCAACCATCGTGGAAAGCAGTATGGTGATTCCTCTAAAAGCTAAAAGCATAAGTACCATTCAACCCAGCAATCCTATTACTGGGTATATACCCAGAGGAATAGAAATCATTCTACTATAAAGACACATGCACAAAAATGTTCACTGCAGCACTATTCACAATAGCAAAGGCATAGAACCAACCTAAATGCCCATCAATGACAGACTGGATAAAGAAAATATGATACATATACACCATGGAATATTATGCAGCAATACGAAAGAATGAGATCACATCTTTTGTGGGAACATGGATGGAGCTGGAGGCTATTTTCTTTTTTCTTTCTTTTTTTTTTTATTTTTATTTTTTGAGACAGAGTCTCGCTCTGTTGCCCAGGCTGGAATGCAGTGGCACCATCTCGGCTCACTGCAATCTCCACCTCCCGGGTTCAAATGATTCTTCTGCCTCAGCCTCCCGAGCAGCTGGGACTATAGGTGCCTGCCACCACACCCAGATAATCTTTGCATTTTTAGTAGAGACGGGGTTTCAACATATTGGCCAGGCTGGCCTCGAACTCCTGACCTCAGGTAATCCACCCGCCTTGGCCACCAAAAGTGCTCGGATTACAGGCATAAGCCACCGCGCCCGGCCGCTGGAGGCTCTTTTCCTTAGCAAACTAATGCGGGATCAGAAACCAAATGCCACATATTCTCACTTATAAGTGGGAGCTAAATAACTCTTGAACAGAAAGAAGGAAACGACAAACTGTGAGGTCTATTTGAAGGAGGAAGGTGAGAGGAGGGAGAGGAGCAGAAAAGATAGCTCTTGTGCACTGGGATTAATACTTGGGTGATGAAATAATCTGTATCACAAACCTCCATGATATGAGTTCATCTCTGTAACAAACCTTCTCATGTACCCCCAAACCTAAAATAAATGTTTTTTTTTTTTTAATTAAAAAAGGTGATATATACTTTTATGTTTGAAAAGAATGACTCTGGCCTCTGCAAGTACTGAATGGAGAAAGCAGGAAGACCAGTTAAGAGGTTGTAAGTAGTTTATATATAAAATGTTAGCACCTTTTACCAGTGTGGTAATAGTAGAGGCGGTAGGAAACAGAGAAATTAGAAAGATTTTGGAATTAGAACCAATAATATTCCTTGATGAATTAATTAAGTGTTAAGTTGAAGAGAAAAAGAAGAGTCAATAAAGATGCATGGCTTGGGGTCTTAATAATAAATAATGTATTTGCCATCAATGGAATAGAGAAGTCTTAAGGTGGCAGGGCTAAGTTAGGAGGAGGCAAATCAAGAGTTCAGTTTTGAACACTTGAGTATGAGGTGTCTTTTAGAAATCCAAGATAAGATGTTGAGTAAAAACTGTATATGTAAGTCTGGAAGTTAACAGATAGATTTAACAGATAGATCTAGGCAGTAGATACAAAGGTGGAAATCTGGGAGAAGAGAAGAACCAGCAACAGAAGCTGAAGAAGCAATGAGAAAGGTATACAGATAAACAAGAATGTAGTGTCCTAAAAACAAAATGAAGGAAGTATATTCAGAAGGAGAAAGTTAGCATTGCTATCTAGTACTACTGAGAAATCAAGCAAAATGAGGGCTGAGAATCGACCCATGAAGTTTTGCAAAACAATAGCAGCATGATTTCAAATCTCCCCTTAACTCCTAAAAAATAAAAAAATCAACACAGCAAACATAAAACCACACTAGACAAATATCTTTAGCATTCCTAGGAGACAGAGAGAATCAATCTTCAGATTACCTGTAAGTAGAAGAAAAAGGAAAAATTCCTACAACCCCCAACTGTGGCCACTATCACAAGCCAGTGGTAATGGTGAGCAGAAGGAAGAAAACCGGAGACTCCATGAAAAATAGAAGAGAGGAATGAAAGTCTTAGGAAGTTCAGTAAAATCACTGTCAGAAATAGGAAAAAATACACAAAAATACTGAACATCATAATTCCATGGGGAAGGGGCCTTCCGCATGAGCAGAACTGGAAGTAGCAGTCTTAGAGAAGCATTGCTTCTGGGGAAGAATTAGCTATACAGAAAAAGGGTGATCCCCTGTAAGACAAGACAGGGAGACAAAAGGACATGAGAAGAGAAAATATGAGACCTTGAAGAGAAGGAAAGAAGCTGTGATATACCAAACCTTATCCCAACTTCCACCAGCAACAGCACATTTATAGGAGAAACTACACAGGAGAGGGTAGAACTGACACAAGAGGATACTCTTACCCAAGAGTTCGAGACCAGCCTGGGCAAGACAGGGAGACACCATCTCTACAAATAATAATAATAATAATAATGAAGTAGGATACTCTTGAACTTGGCAACTTGACCATAAAATAAATTAGAATAAAAGAAAGTGGGCTACATAAACATAAAACTACTGTAAAATGCTAGAAAATGCAAATGAAAGACCTGCTAACGAAAATAGAAAAACTTTATCCTAAAAACAAAACAAAACCCAAACCAACCAAACAAAAAATCAGCCAATGAAAATTGAAACACAGTACCCCCCAAGACTGAATTACATATACTCAAGTGAGCATTTTGTGAATAGGAAAGAACACTTTGATTCAGAAATATAAAAACTTAAATAGGAAATGCAAAATGGGAAGAATTAAAATAAGTGCTGATTGAACTAATTAAATAATGTTGTGAAAAGACAACTCCTTAAAAATATAGACAATTGTAAGGTACAAAAGGGAGTCTAGAACTAAATGAAAACTTAAGGCATGGAAGAAAATTAGAAAAACAGCCAAAGAATAAAAATGAGATCAAGAAAGGAGACAAAGGGGTGAGAGAGAAAATGATTTAAGTGGAAAACATATAAAGGAGGTTAAACATTCATATTAGTGATGTCCCCAAAAAAGAAAATAAAATATAGAAAGCCGAACATTTAAAACTATAACTCAAGAAGAGTTTCTAGAAATTAAAGAAGATTTTTTTTCTTTTTTTTTCTTTTTTTTTTTTTTTGAGATGGCGTCTCACTCTCTCACCCAGGCTGGAATGCAGTGGTGTGATCTCTGCTCACTGCAACCTCCGCCTCCCTGGTTCACGCCATTCTCCTGCCTCAGCCTCCCGAGTAGCTGGGACTACGGGCGCCCACCAGCACGCCCAGCTAATTTTTAAAATTTTTTTTAGTAGAGACGGGGTTTCACCGTGTTAGCCAGGATGGTCTCGATCTCCTGACCTCGTGATCTGCCTGCCTTGGCCTCCCAAAGTGCTGGGATTACAGGCGTACCGTGCCCAGCCTAAAGAAGATTTTAATCTATGCATTGAAAGAGCCCACTGAGTACAAAGGCAAACTGACCCTAGAAGGCTAAATTCTAAACATATCCTAGAAAAAGTATCAAATTTTAAACATAAAGAAAAATCCTCAGTGATTCACAATCACTTCTCTATGAGAATTAAACTGGCACCATATTTTCGACAACGCAAATAGAGGAACAGCGCATCATTTTTGTAAATGGCATTGAAACAACCAGATAGCCATTTAGTAAAAGATATAAATACAACCATCAACACATCCTTACCAGCATAAATTCTAAATATATGAGAGATTCTAAATGTAAAAATAAAGCTGCATAAATACTAGAAAACATATGGGTAAATTCTTCTATTGTAAGACTATCTAACTTGACTAAAAATCCATATGCAATTAAAGAACATACCAATACATAGTACTACATAAATATTTTTAAACATAGTAAAAATAATAAGCTCTGTCAAAAGACAAATAAAAACTAGAAAACAATTATGATGTATATCACAGATAAAGAATGGATATCCCTAATTTCTAAAGAACCTATAAAAATTGAGGCTAACAGGACCGAGAGTCCTATCGTGGTAAAATACATGAACTTAATTATTCACAAAAAGAGATCTGAAAATGGCTATTAAACTTATGAAAATACATTCAATAACACTCTTAATAGACAAATGTAAATTAAAATGATATTGAAGTTCCATTTTTCTACTGTAAGATTGGCAAATACTCAAAATCTGAAAATAACATCTCTTGGCAGGATGATGGGGAAAAAGGCACTCTCATACATTGGTGATAGGAATGTAAATGTCACAACTGATACACATAAGAATTTAGCAATATCTAGCAAAATATTACACTGAATTTACTCTTTAATTCATCAGTACAAGTTCTAGGAATTTGTCCTGAAGATATACATCCAAAAATATGAGTATGTACACACAAAGGTTATTCATTTCAGTATTATTTGTCATTGCAAAATGTTGGAAGTGCAGTAAGTCCTCTCAACATAAATGATACGTTCTTTGAAACTGTGACTTTAAGTGAAACAATGTATAACAAAACCAGTGTTACCATAGGGTAAGTGTTAGAAGCAAGAGTTTAGTTTCTGCAGCCTATTTCTGGTCACAAAACATCACTACATTACTAAATAACGACCCAAAACACTTCTAATACTAAACATTAAAATAAATGTGAGCTATATATTTAAGAAAGATTACTAAAAACAAGTGAAAAGGGCCGGGCGTGTTGGCTCATGCCTGTAATCCCAGCACTTTGGGAGGCCGAGGCCGGCAGATCATGAGGTCAGGAGATCGAGACCATCCTGGCTAACATGGTGAAACTCCATCTCTACTAAAAATACAAAAAAAATTAGTCGGGCGTGGTGGTGGGCGCCTGTAGTCCCAGCTACTCGGGAGGCTGAGGCAGGAGAATGGCATGAACCCGGGAGGCGGAGCTTGCAGTGAGCTGAGATCGTGGCAATGCACTCCAGCCTGGGCGACAGAGCGAGAGCCCATCTCAAAAAAAAAGAAAAAAGAAAACTAGTGAAAGGATGATACCCAATTTTGGGTGAATCAGTGAGCAAGGGCGGTTGTGGTGGTGATGGGTTCAATCGAGAAATAAATGTTTGCAAAGGGAATATTGTCAGGAGCACCTCCTCCCACCATGCAGTTCAAAAAACAAGCAATCTCCAATACAGCAGGCTTGCTGAGCACTGTTCTGTCACATTGTTTACTGTCGTGCACTTGTACGATTATTGTATACTTGATGAATTTTTTAATTTTATGATCTGCATTCATTCATTCATTCGTTTGTTCATTCATTCATTCATTCGTTCGTTCATTTGTTCATTCATTCGTTCATTTGTTTGTTCATTCATTCATTCGTTCGTTCATTTGTTCATTCATTCATTCATTTGTTTGTTCATTCATTCATTTGTTTTCCAACCCATTTATTCCAGTTCAGGGGCCTGGGTAGCCAGATCCTGTCTCAGCAGCAGGACTCCAGGTGGGAACCCACCTTGTCCAGGACACCATCCCATCGCAGGGCACACTCACACACACTCACATTCACTCACCCCGGGACCATGTAGACACGACCCAGTTCATCTTATGTGTGTACCGTTGGGATGTGAGAGGAAAGGAGAGAACCCTGAGAAGCCCCATGCAGACAAGGGGAGAAAATGCAAACTCCACAAGGCAGTGGCCCCAGACAGGAAGAGAATTTTTTCCTCTTTAACATTATAAGAAAAAAAGAACATTGAACAAAATAATGTTATTCAAGGAACTGTTGTATTTAAATTTTTTGAGCATACAAGATTGGTTAAATAAACTACAGTACAATGGAATTACATTGCAGCTGTAAAACTGAATGAGAAAGAACTGAATGACAAGGAGTGATTTCTAAGTAATCTAAATGGGGGTTAAAAGTACAAAAAGCAAATAATACGTTTTGTGGAAGAAAGAAGTAAGAAGGCATACACATATCTGCTTATTACAAACACAGCACAGGATTAAGAAACAAACACAAAAAAACAAAGCAAAGTCAAAACAAAACAATAAGATTAGTTATCTACAAAGGGGAATGAATTCAAAGGGACAGGGTAGGAAAGATACTTCTATGACTAAAGTTTTTGGCATAGTTTCTTTCCCTTTTGAAGGTACAGTGTTATTAAATTAAATTATTTTATCAAATTATAAATAAACATAAGAATTTATAAATAAATAAAATTTAACTTTTTATTTCCCTTAAGAATGAGAAGGTGGGGAGTAATCTCAAAGAAAAATGGAATAAATGAACACAATTTTATTGCAATGAATATTATAATCACATAGATGGGATGAAAGAAAGGAAGGGAGGAAGGAAGGGAGGGGGCAAGGGAGGCTGACCAAATCAAAATAATTTATCAACACAGTTTTTGTGTTGGGCAGTCCAGGAGGAAGCAGGGATATAATTGCAAATAAATCTTAAGCTTTTTTGAGTAAGTTTGTTTATTGTAGTGGTATGGCCATAAAAATTCTAAAGCTATTTTAGAATTCCAAATTACATCTACTGTATTAGATGTAATACAAGATTGAGTAAATGGGTAAATGTGTGGAGGTTGTCAGGAGGCAGGATTCTCACTGTGGAAGAATGGGAAAACAAATATGGAATGAGAGAAGGGAGGAAAAACTCTGTGGGAATGGATTGGAATGGAAGGTATTGCTGTGAATTTGTGATTTCACATGTATGCATGCATGTATATAAGTAAATGTAATTCTTTACATTTGTATGTGTGTATGGATATATACATGTATATGCATACATATATTTCCTAGACATAATTACTGAAAAGGCAATCGAGAAAAGATACTCAAAGCATATCTTGCACCCAAATCCTGATCTCCACTACCTTCCTGAAAAGAACCAGAGATCCTAGGAGAAACAGTTGATTGTCAAGGCAGGGTAGAACAGGTACAAAATGAGCCTATAACATCTTGTTAGGTCAGAAAGTAAAGCAGTGCTCAAAATTGATGAGGGCCTTTTACAAGAACACAGGAGCCAGATTGATCAAATCTACACAACTTTAGCACCAAAATGGTGAAATAGAGTAATGAATTATGAAACAATGAAAAAATAGGAAACCCTGAGTTCATATGACAACAAACAAATAAAGAAATAAATGAGAGAATCGGGAGGGGTCTTACTTATAGTAAAATGCTGAAGGCCAACTGGTAAATGTGGAAGAAAGACCAGGGTTGGAAAAAATCATCATTTTGCAACAATCATGGTGAAGTTTGGATCAGGCAAAACTATCTGGATGCTAAATCTAAGGAAGAAATTTTACATGGGGATAGGATGTTTATTTTCATTATTTTTAAAATTAATTTACAGACCATTTATTAGTTGTAAAGGAGAAAAAAATAACAGTATTTATAAAGTGGAGATATCAGGAGACACCTTGAATGTGTGATCAAAATTACTATCAGTGGGGGACCGAAGGACATTATGTGCCTGCATATGTGATACCTTGACATAGATAAAATATTGCCTATTTCACTCAAGAAGGAGGAGTGTTATATTAATGAAAATAGTGTGTGTTGGGTACACTTTGTTTTCCAGAAATATCAATGTCATAAAAGGCAAAGCGAATAAGTGGAAATGTTTCAGAAAGAATAAGCTACTACATGAAATAACTAACTGTAGACTAGATTTTGTACCTGAGGGTGGAAGGAAGGCATAAAAGACATTGTTAGATCAAATGAAAAAATTAGAATATAAATAACAGGTTAGATACAATTATGATATCTATGTAAATTTATGAAGATTATAACTCTGTTGTGGTAATGTAAGATACTTATATTCTTAGAAAATATACACTGAAGTATTTAAAATTAAATGTCCATCCATGACATATATGTAACTCAACCTCTAAATTTTCAAAAAAAAATATGGATGTGTATATGTGTGTGTGTGTATGTTAGAGAGGGAGAGAGCAAATGAGATAAAAACTTATAAATGAATATGATTAAAGGCTGATTGTGTTATTTGCACTACTTTTATTGTTGGAACTTTAATAAGTTTGAAGTATTTCCAAATAAAGTAAAAATAATTCATCATTTGGCTACATAGAAGTTACTGATGACCTTGTTATGGTCATTTTTGATGGCGTTTAGGATGAAAGCCAAGTTGAAGTACATTTTTAAAACGAAAGCTGAGGGAGGGAGTAGAAACCTTAAGTACAAACATATATTTTAGGAAGTTGTGCTGCTGCCGGGCTCTGTGGCTCATGCCTGTAATTCCAGCACTTTGGGAGGCCAAGGCAGGCAAATCACAAGGTTAGGAGTTCGAGACCAGCCTTGGCCAATATGGTGAAATGCCGTCTCTACTAAAAATACAAAAAAAAAAATTAGCTGGGCATGGTGGCAGGCACCTGTAATCCCAGCTACTTGGGAGGCTGGGGCAGGAGAATCACAAGAACCCGGGAGGCTGAGGTTGCAGTGAGGTGAGATTGCGCCACTGCACTCCAATCCAGCTGACAGTGTGAGACTCAAAAAAAAAAAAAAAAAGTTGTGCTGTAAATAGAGCAATAGAGCAGTAAAAAGAAGGATCTATATACATATATGATATAAACAGATTAAGCAGATAAGAATGATTTTGATAATTAAAAATGAGTGATGTAAGAAAGCAACAGAAAGCTAGTGAAGTGAAGTCCTCGCTTGAATAGGCATGAAAAGACAGAATCTATTATGCAAGTAGGGATAGAGATTAGCTATGAATAAATAGTTTCATTGACGACAAAAGGAAGACAGGCAGGTGATGTGTGAGTAGATGTGTTGATGGCAGCTGGCGAGAGTCCTGTTCCAACCATGCATTGGCCACTTCATTAGGTGCCAAAGATGTAAAGATGAACACGAAATAATTCCTGTCCTTAAAGACTTTGCAGTCTAAGGGAGACCAGTAAGAAAATAGGCCATTTCATAATTGCTAAGGATAGAAGATGGTTTTATGAGTCAGAGAATGCTCTCTCAAGGAAGAACGATCTCAGTTGAGATCCTGAGCCCATGGAGGCATAAGCCAAGTTAAAATATGGTGGCAACATAGCCTTGGCACAGGCCTGAAAGGCAAGCAAATCATGGGGAATTGAACGTAACTCAGTATGGTGGGAACATGGCACTGGAGGTGGTTTGAACAGGGCATAAGGTGAGACAAGAGAGATAAGAAAAGGCCAAATAATAAATGTCCTTATCTGCTATGTTAAGAAGTTTGACCATCATCTTATAAAGACAGTGTCTGGCCATTTAAGAATGGTAAGTAGACAGTATGATAAATTTGCTTTTTAGACTACTCTTGCTACTGTTTTGTGTGGCATAATGAAGACATCTAAATCTTGCATGGTGACTTTTGCTAAGCAATGCACCAAGCTCCTTACATATTTTATCACTTGATCCTTACAGCAGCATTGTGAACTAGGTGATATTACTATGCACATTTTACAGAAAAGATATTAAATGAACAAATAATTTACTGAAAGCCTATGATATACTAATGCTTTACTCTAAGTTGCAAGAGATAGAGGAGTGATAAGACAGAGTGAGTTCCTGCCTTTAAGTTTAAAGAAAAAAAAGATAAATATGTACACAAGAAAATTTCTGGAGCTGCTTCTTGCTAAGAACAAATAAAATAGAGGTATTTCTCAAGTAAGAATGAGAGTGGAAATTGAAGTTTTTTTTTTAATTTGGATTATCAGAATAGGTACCTCTGAGTTGATATCTGATTCACAATCTGCCTGATTCAAATATTCATTCAACATATGTCTTTTGAGGGCCTACCATGAACCAGGCACTCTTGTAGATTCTGGAGAGACAGCAGTGAATTAGACATAAAAATGTGTGTTCTTCCAGAATTTATCTTATTTGGGGGAATAGAACAAAAGGAAAATCAAGCATATATAAAAGGAAAAAATATTTCAAAAGCTAAAAAAGAAAACCTAAGGCTCACAGAGATTAACAAAAAACACCATAAGAAAGGGAGTTAAGGGGTCAAATCTTTGAGATACTGATGAGATAAAAGAAAGATTTAGGGCAAGTGACTAATGAAAAAGCTACACAGATATGAAAATAGGAGGCTTGTTAAGAAGCAGGAATATCTGAATATCACATTTTTAGGATAAAGCAGGCAAAACCTAAGGCATAGTTACAGATGTGAAATTTGATAGGGGTGAATATTATTAGGGATGAACATGGGAATGAACTGGGGCATGATAACATTTGGTTGTTCAACCGCATGAAGTACAAAAAGGTAGAAAGCAGGGTTTGGAATACAGTGTAACACCAACTGCAAAAGCCTTCAACTAATGAGGATAAATGACCATGACATTGTTGAAAAGAGAAAAGATGATGGCGATAATTCTCAAAAGAGGTAGGGATGTTCCAGAAGGGTAGAAGATTAGATGAATAGTGTCTTAGAAGTCACATTAAAGAACAGTGTCTTTAATGATAGCCAGGTTTCATATCAATCATGGATATGGTGACTATTTAATTTATCATACAACTAGGGATGCTTTCTAGAGTGAAGGGGAATTATTGATGGTGTGCAGAGATACTAGCATTGATTGGAACTATCATGGGCAAATGGGAATATTTGTTCACCCTAAACACAGAGTACAGAGAGCACCCAGTCGGGATGTTGAGAAATGGGAGATTTGTTACATATGATCACTTTTAAATTAATAAATAGAATACACGTAAATTTTTGTCACTTACATAAACATAATATTTTGTCAATATCTGTATCAACAGAGAAAGAAAAACCCTTTGTTCTAGTTGGCATCTTGCAAAAAAAAAACATGGTATTGCCTTAGAGAGTAAGATATGCACATGTACATAATAAATTATAATTTATTTAAAAATTACAACTGCCATCATAATATGAGTAAAACAGCATGTTCAGAACTTTAGACGAACTGAATAAGATAAAAACATAAAACCTAAGATATGTGAACACATAGGACATAGCATGAACAGGAAATATAACAGGATACAGGCACGTGAATTACATATGAGATATTGTTTGTTGAAACAGAATACTGGGTGTAATCAGATCATCAATACCAACAAGATATTAATTCTTTAAACAACAAATTATTTTAGTACAAATAATGTAGGAAATGTTTATATGTTTTACTCTTTGTTAAATTATCTTATTCCCGTCTTTAAAACAAAAGAAAAAACAAATTTGAGGCTAGGACATAGACCCTCTCGAAACTTCTTATTATTGCTGATGTGCTGAGCAACCAAGATTAATGAGAAAATGTTTGCAGCCACCAGAAACTACATGCTGTTCCGTGATATGTTAAGCTTCACATCCCATTTGAGGCCATTTAAATGGTAACAGAGTGAAGTTGAGTCGATAGGCAGTTAAAAATTCTTCATTAACTCTTCACTCTTTAGGAATGGCTTCTTTCATTGGCTATTTCAGAGCTTATTTCTTCAGCGCATTAGATTTTCCATCACACTACTTAGGCAGGGAGTCGATTGAGAACAAAAGAAAAAAAATACAACCCCCAATTGTGAAAGGAGAAAAGGATTGTAATCTATCATCCTCAGTCACAATTTCTGCAGGAAAGTAAAAAAAAAAAAAAAAAAAAAAAATCATTTGTCCTCTTTCTTCCTCTCTCTTTAGAACTGCACCATTGCTCTCACATATTCACTGTGTACCTTTTCCATTTGTTCTCTTTTTCATTTGTAACGTAGCACTAGATATATATGTATTTATTAAGAATATTGCTTATTGTCTGTTTTTTTTTTCTCACTAGAAAAAGGTTAAGTTTCTCGAGGGTAAAAATCAGTGTCTATTCTGTCTATCAATGTACCCAAGTGCCTACAAAAGTTCCTTGCATATAGTAGGCACTCAATAGTTGTGTGTTGAAAGAATAAATTTTAAAATTACATAATTGCACACATGACCCAAGTATAAGGAGATTCATATCCCATATTGTCAGCAAATTGATAAATCGGTGACTGTTACAAGAATGGCCTAGAATCAGTTAAAAGGTTTTATAACATATCTTTTTCTTAAATGGGTATGTTAAAACCCCAGATGTTCCCTGGGATTGTAGGTTTGCTCTCCATGTGAAGCAGGGATATGCAAGAAGCTAAAATCCTATCCGGACAGACAGGATCATGAAAACAGTGTTTATGAAAAAAATTAAATCCTGCTACAGCCCACCAATGCCAAGCAGTATTCTAACAAGAAAATTCTGGTGCAGTCAACCCATAAGGATGATGAATAATAAGTCTTTGGAATTGTATGCATGTCAGTATTTACTGTGTACCTAATATAAAGTCAGAAGTGAAGTAACATTGGGCCTACAATGTGGGCATAATTGGTTTCTATCCTCAAGAATTTACAATTCAGGACAGGTATAATTACTTAGTAAATAATGGATATTGAGTAAAGAAGAAAGGGTGGGATGACTGAGGTTTTCAATTAACTGGGCACAGTAAGTTGGGACACTAACAGTTTCATTATAATAATATAGTTGAGAAGACAAGTTTAAGGGAAAATAAAATGGAATCAGATTTAGGTGGGATACATTTAATGTGTATCTAGGCCGAGGAATCTAGCAGGTGGAAATACAATATGAAATCTAGATACACTAGAAGAGGTGAAACTTCAGTTCACGGATATGAATAAGGATTGCTTCAAGAGAAATCACACAGCAAAATGATAGACACAAGGTTTATGAAAAATGTTTATGAAAGAGAAGAGGTAATCATAAAGGTAGAATTATAATCAGGTTTAATAAGAAGAAATTAATGTCAGACTATGAGATCAAATAAAATAATGACTAAAAATAGCATGTTAACTTTGGTCGTTGGTCACTTGCTGGTGACTTTTATGGCAGCCTATTCATCAAATAAACCTGTCAGATGAAGCAATTTTCCGCTAAAAAGAAAACTGACATTTTTAATGATAAATCTGATTTTTTAGTTCATTTTTATAGGTACATATAACGGATGTTCTTAGTTTTCTTCATTAATTAATACATGTTTATTTATATTTCAATTTCTAGCCTCATTTAAGGCTTAGGAAAATAGGTATCTGAAAGAGTTAATATATTTATCTAAGTACCTGAGTGATAAACTCACTGGGGAAAACAAGATACCATATGTCTATTTCAGAAATTTATAATGCAGGTAATTACTAGCATTACATTGTCACATGTGAGTGATTTTTCAACAACAGAGCTAATATTAGGCCTTTCAAAATACAGTAGTATCTGAAAACTAGGTAGAAAGATAAGTATGAAAAAATCAACTTTCAAGTTTGACTCCAAAGTCAAACTCTCATGTTAATAAGAGAAGAACATTTTTTGACATAAGAAATCAAGGAGGAGATTATGAGGAATAAAGTACACATTTTAATTGCAAGTGAAAGCACTCATGTTATTTTAGGAACAAAGGTAAAATTTTTAATCATATTCCTACACCTCCTTTTTTTTCCTCTGCAATTTCACAGTTTTGTTTTTTTGAATGTCGTGATACTTAAAGTTAATTTTCTAAATTTCCATGAGCACAAATGAAATAAATCAGATTTTCCTAACAATTTTTTTTTCTTCGTCGCCTTTTCAAATTTGAATTCATGTATATTAGGGGAAAGGCATTGTAGACAAAGATTGTTAGTGGGGCTCATGGGGCCTTTTTTCTGGTTTTGAATTCCTGGCAAACAGATTGCTCCAGCTCGGAGAGTAAAAATAGCAGATGGGATTAATTAACTTGGTGACAACTCTTCAGACCTACCTAAATTAATATTTTTCTTCAAACAATGTATTCTGATTATCATACAACTAACTGACGTTCATAGAAATAGATCCTGGTCTCAGTGATTTTCAGAATATATTGCTAACTATTTATCCCCCCGTAAGAAGTTTAGTCTGTTATTTGCATGTTGATCTTTCTAATCATTTTCTTAAAGAAAGCAAACATATAGAAGAAAAGTACATTTTGTTTGTAATGCTAGAGTTTGTCCTGACCTGAGGAATTCCTTCCTCTGCAGAAGTAAAAGGTTCAGGAGATTAATTTATTCACAGAAATTCTTCTCAAACCCAAACCTCTAAGGAGCAATTAATTATCTTTTGTATGAAAACTGCAAATGAACATATCAACATAACATTTTCACCAGAGCTGTTTAAACTATGTAGAATCCAAGGGTAAAAGGTCATTTGTTACAAAAACAAAAAACAAAAAAGTACCACATTTCATCAAATCGAATACAACACAGACTGACAGAAAAATCACAATTTCAAAGATTTCAAAATGTGAATCTGTTCTCTCTCTCTGTCTCTATCTATCTTTTTCTCTCTTTCTGTCTCCTATGACCTATGGGACTTTTCTTTCAGTATCTTTGCAGCAGCACAAGGCCAAATAATACCTTATGGAAGATAATGTAACACTTTTATTAGTAAGCGGATTGTCTTTTAATTTGGGGTCATTTTGTGTCTAACAACAAGAAAACAGTAGAGAAGGACACTCCTTTATGGCTTCCTTCAGATTTTGTGTGTGTGTGCTTTACTGGTTGACATTGTGAACTCTACTTACATTGAGAGACTCTAACATGGAATTATGGTGAATCACCATGAACCTGCTATTTAATGTGTTGTATAAAGGCTGTTAATGACAGCACTGTCCTCTCCTATGCTCTACTGTAGTGTGCTAGGTATAAAGGCTAGTAGAAAAAATTACTTTAAAGCCAAAACAAACAAACAAAAAAACCCCAAACAAACCAAAAATCCATCTCCACCACTTTGTTCAGCCAGTGAGAAATGATATTTAAGTGAATAGGTTTACCTTGTTGCTTTCATGACCAAGGAGCAGAGTGACATATTTGTTGTTCATTTTTAATAATGTTTTTGGCTTATTTGCATTTTGATTTATTCTTAGGTCTTAAGTTCTTCTTCTAATTTAGAGCACTATTTGATGATTGCTTTCTAAAATTATACTCATGCTAATACACACACAAGTATAGACACACACACATACACATACACTTCTATCTATTTCAATTTATGTATCTTTTTAATCTACAGCTAATCCTACAGGGAAGAAGTCTGGGTACAACAAGCAAAGGACAAGTAGCAATCAGAATTCTGAGTCCCAACAGAACACATTTTAAAAACAGATCCTTACCATTTACAAATTTTAAGTTTTAAAAAAACTCCCTCCCTCCCTCCCTTCCTTCCTTCTTTCCCTCCCTCCCTCCCTTCTTTCCCTCCCTCCCTCCCTTCCTTCCTTCTTTCCCTCCTTTCCCTATTTTCTTTCCTCCCTCCCTCCCTTCCTTCCTTCTTTCCCTCCTTTCCCTCTCTTCTTTCTTTTGCAGATGGTCCTACAATGACACTATTTCTTTGCCCACCTTCCTTCTTTCCTTCTTTCCCTCCTTTCCCTCTTTTCTTTCTTTTGCAGATGGTTCTAGAATGACAACGTTATTTCTTTGCCTGCCTGCCTGCCTTCCTTCCTTCCTTCCTTCCTTCCCTCCTCCCTCGCTCCCTCCTTTCTTTCTCTCTTTTCCCTCTTTCCTTTCTTTTGCAGAGGGTCCTAGAATGACATTATTTCTTTGCCCGCCTCCCTGCCTTCCTTAAAGTACACATTTTAATTGCAAGTGAAAGCACTCATGTTATTTTAGGAACAAAGGTAAAATTTTTAATCATATTCCTACACCTCCTTTTTTTCTCTGCTATTTCACAGTTTTGTTTTCCTTCCTTCCTTCCTTCCTTCTTTCCTTCCTTCCTTTGTTTTTCTTCCATCCTTTCTTCCTCTTTTTATTTTGAAGGTGGCCCTATTGCAAAATATAATGATATTATCTCTGTTTTTCTTCCTTCCTTCCTTTTGCAGATGGCCCTGCAATGACAATATTCTTTCCTTATGTGTTCTACTCTCTCCTCAAATTTAGAATAAATGCAGATTAATAGCTATAGTTTTGTAATTAATAGCAAGTAAATCCACAGCCATTTAACTAGCTAGAGAAAGAGGAAGACAAGGAATAAAGAAAGAAGGAATCTTTTTTCTCCTTTAACCTACTCTGCAACAAAATGTCCAGTAGAGGTTTCTTAAAATGTTACGTGCAAGTAAATCAGTTTGTTAAGGATTGTGTTTCAGAATATGCTATTTTGTACTATGTTATTTACTTTTGAAATCTACTAAAATCTCATTCATGCCCCAAGCGTACTATTTTGCAAATGCCTGCATTGGTCAACCAGCTACTAAGTGATGCAAAGGATGTTTAGACATAGCATGGATTAAAAAAAAAATGTTACAGAATAATACTCTCATGTCAGCAAAAAAAAAAAAAAAAAAAAAAAAAAATTCTATTTTTTCTGCTAAATATTTTATCAAATTTTCTTTGCTTTAAAATATTAGTATTTTCTCCTTCTATCATTTTTGGGGAGATTCATAAGGAATAATATAGTAAAAGTGGAATAAGAAAGAATATAATAAGAGAAACACATGACATATGTTCTTACTAGGTCAATTTCCTTAGATTCTCTGGATATCAGTTTTTATCTCGACCAGATAATTTCTGCCATTCTTCCATTTCAGACATTATCTGCTTCTAATTCATGTTAAAATATGTAGCAAGTCTTTGAATTATTATTAAATATAATGCTCTGTAGTTGAATAAAAAATATAAACCCATTTAGTTAAAAAACATTATTTGGAATATGTTAAAATAATATATAGCTGTTTTGTTTGTTTTTGTTTTTGGAGATGGAGTCTCGCTCTGTCACCCAGGCTGGAGTGCAGTGGCGCAATCTCGGCTCACTGCAACCTCTGCCTCCCGGGTTCATGCCATTCTCCTGCCTCGGCCTCCCGAGTAGCTGGGAATACAGGCGCCTGCCACCATGCCCTGCTAATTTTTTTTGTATTTTTAGTGGAGACGGGGTTTCACTGTGTTAGCCAGGATGGTCTTGATCTCCTGACCTTGTGATCTGCCTGCCTTGGCCTCCCAAAGTGCTGGGATCACAGGCGTGAGCCACCGTGCCCAGCAATAATATATAGCTTTTAATAATGAAATTTGCCCAAGTCTAAGTATGGTTGCCAACCCCCATTATTATCCCACAAGTTTCGGTTTATCAAGGAAAACTTCAGCCAACCTTGAAATATTAAAAACTTGAAAAAACAGTAAAACATATTACTTGAAATGGCAATTAAAATTTTCCACATTAACAGAATTTTTTTAAACAAAACTGTTCCTTTTTATATTGTTTGGAAAAAAATGTGTTTTGGAATGTGAATTTCTTATGTATCAAGTTTTAAAATGACAAACAAGAAGCTTAGATTTTTCAGAGATTTTTTTCTAATCCTATGATGTCTACAGAGAGTCCCATAAGATTGGATGTCTATGCAATATATTTAAAATTTATCCATCTAATGTGGAATAAGCACGAGTCATTAATGAAAGTATGTTTGCAAAATGTCTCTGATCCATTCTTCAAGTACAGTTATTTCTTACAGTCCTAGAACTAAATAAAAAGGATCAATAGCATATAATATTCTAAATACTCAGCTTATATCATGGAACACATATTTAAACATTGATTGTAATAGCAGCAGTTTTGATCCTCATTATTTCAAAAGTTGACATCCTTCATGTGTGTATTCAACAACAGTCAATATCCACTGATTGATATTTAAGAGTAAGTGATGGGCCGGGCACGGTAGCCCACGCCTGTAATCCCAGCACTTTGGGAGGCCGAGTGGGTGGATCACCTGAGGTCGGGAGTTGGAGACCAGCCTGACCAACACGGAGAAACCCCGTCTCTACTAAAAATAGAAAATTAGCCCTGCATGGTGGTGCATGTCTGTAATCCCAGCTACTTGGGAAGGCTGAGGCAGGAGAATCACTTGAACCTGGGAGGCAGAGGTTGCAGCGAGCCAAGATGGCGCCATTGTACTCCAACATTGGCAACAAGAGCAAAACTCCACCTCAAAAAAAAAGAAAAAAAAAAAAAGGTAAGTGATGATATCCGCAAATACTTCAGTATGTTTTGCATAAGAACTATGACATTCCCCTTTCTAACCACACTATGATTATCAAAATAAGGAACTTTAACAAAAACATAATATTATCTAAGCCACAACCCATTTTAATTGTTCCATTAATGTCCTTTTTAGCGATCATTTTCCTGTCCAAGAACGAATCTGGGATCATGTACTGCATTTATATATGATGCCTCATTAGTCTCTTTTAATCTAGAAAAGTATCTCAGCCTTTCTTGGTGTACATTGATCTTCATGTTTCTGAAGAACATAGGCCAGTTATTTTAGGCAATGTTTCTCAGTTCGAGTCTCTGTTGTATTTTATGGTTTGATTATGCATGTGAACAGAAGTATTGCAGCAGTGATATCATGCCTCTTTAAGTGTTCCATATGAGGAGGCCCATGATGTGTGTCCCAGTACGAGTGATGTTAACTTTCATCCCTTGGTGAAGGCAGAGTCCACAGATTTCTGCTCTGTAGCATTGTATTTCCCTTTATAATTACCAATGACAAATTTGTAAGGACATTCTTTGAGATTATACAAAATTTCTGCTCTTCAAACTCACTACTTTAGCAAACATTGATAATGTTTTAGCTCCATCATGCTTTCTAGATCTATTATTTGGCATTCTAGTTAAGTAAAAATTTTTCTATTTATTTATTTATATCAGTATGGCTTCACACATACCTATTTTATTCAATTCGCCATAATTCATCATTATCACTGTGTATTTTGATACTCAAATTTTCCCAGATGTGGTCAGAGAAAGGGCACTTTCCAATGGCTCCTGCAGACACCAAGTTTTATCTGCCCAGCTCCACTCTCTCCTACCAGTTTCTCAGAAATGTTCTTTTCCTACTTCTATCTCCTTAGTCACATACAAGGCAGCCACACTTTTGCCCTTGGAAACTGACAAACCAGGCATAGTTTATGTCTATAAATGGGCATGTGACCTAATCTGCCAATCAAAGTCACATCCACAGATGCCACTGGCAGATTTGTCAAAAGGTCTGCAGCTGATCCTAGCTAGGCCAATCAGAGTCCCAGCTCAGAATCTGCAGTTGTAATTAAGTAATTCTATTTAGAATATGACTGGTCCCTTGAATAGAAGCCAAATTAATTTGTAAGTTATGGGTAACATAACTCTTGAACACAGCTAATTTGTTTTTATGATACCCTGTCACATAGCAGACACAGAACAAATATTATCTCTCCTTTTAAATGTTTCTTTTATTTCTTGCTACTAAGCAAGACATGGGAATGTGGTGGACTTTCAGTCAGTAATCCCCTGCCTTTAAATCATAAGGATCCTCAACCCTTTTTACAAATAGCCCTTCAGTTATATTCTTTACCCTGGTGATTTCTAGCCTATCCCTTTCTATTTCTGTCTCTAATACACATACAATCAGCCCTTCGTATCTGCAGCTTCTCCATCAGGGATTCAAACAACGGTGGATGACAAATATTTGAGAAAAAATATCTTAAATGCAACAATACAAAATGATACAAATAAAAAAATACAACTATTTATATTGCATTAGGCATTATAAGTAACCTAGAGATTATTTAAAGTATATGGGAGGGTGTATGTAGGTTTACACAAATACTGGGCTATTTTATATCAGGGACTTGAGCAAACATAGATTTTGGTATCCACAGGGCCTCTGGAACCAATCCCCTGCAGATACCAAGGAGCCGACTATGGGACAACTGCTCTATGCTTTTTCCCCTCTTCAAAAGTTTTATACATTTTTCTTGTTTGCCAGATTCAGATTAGTCGTCCTAAAGTCCTGTTTTCTGAAGGTAGAAAAGAAAAGTAAATCCAGACATAAATCCACTCTGAGTTAACATTGAGTCAGGGAAAGAGTTTACAGTCTTCACGAAGGGAAGTGGTGGTAGCGTTAGACAGCATCAGTTGACACTGTTACTTGGACATTTGCATATTCTGCTTTACATATCATATATGATTATGTAAATTATAAAAGCTACATGTAGACTATTGTGAATGAAATACTCCAGTATGTCTCATCAGTTCATTCTCGTGTAGAATCCTACTGTGTGTTGCTAAATCAATGTTATCTCCTTTGAAATCATAGTTGCGGTTTTTTCCTACACTGCCTCTCAAATCATTTTGAAAGTGATTTAATAAGACTCAATAAGACAAATTCCTGTTTGAGTTCATTATCAGGAAACATATTTTATGTACATATATTTATTTTTTTCTTATCAGAAAGCTAAAATGATGTAAAAATATCTCCGATCCTACCCGAAATGGCAGAAAAGTTAGAGATAATTACATTGTCCAAATATGATAATCCAATGAAAATAAACATCTGAAAATAGGTACCAATTATTATTTCAATGGCATTTCTTACACATTATTTTCACATGGATTTTCCAAAACTTTATGTAACCTTAAGCAAACAATAAAAATGTATTCATACGGTTATATAAATATTTTTGAAAGTAGATGGGCTTATACATTAATCATGTATTTTTCCAAAGTTGTTTTATTTGTTGATGGATAGAATCTTTAGTTCATGTATCCAGTGATGTGGGTCCTTAGTATTGATATAATAAGGTAGCTAAATAGGAGATACTTTGTGTCTCCCTCACTATATGGAATAACTGTCAGCTGAGCCCTACCTTTTACTTTTATATGCAGTAAGCTGATTTTCATTTCGGATTTCATTTTATTATTCACTTTTCTCCATATGCTCTAGGAAGAGGCATCTATGTCTCCAATTCCAGGAGAGGAGCCAATTGGCCTAAGGCAATTATCTTCAGAATACAATCATTGGTTCAGAGATGAGTATGTGACTAAATTGTGTGGGCAAATGAGGTGAAAACATTTGCTTGGAGTTTCTGGAAACGGAGAAAAAATAATTTCTCATTTTCACGTGACATCTACCTAGACTAAAATTCTCTTCCTTCTGGATGTGAACAAGGAAGAATACAGGCTCCAGAATCTGCAGAATGCTGTCTATCACCATGAGGAGATATAATAGTAAGACGAGGTTCAAGCCTAATACCAGCTTTCTATGAAGATTTTACTGTGTCACTGGATTTAGCCACACCTGGAGTCCATTCTCTCTATCTCTGTATTTTTCAGTTAATTCCATTGAGTGTTTAAGCCACTGCATTTTCCGTCACTTGTAATAAAACGTTTTGTGTTAGATTCCATACCAATCGTAGTTGTTTGGAGATGGCATCAAAGTGCACAATATCGAGAAGGTACTAAGAATTTGTTTTCTTCTCTTTTCTTTTTTTTTTTTTTTTCCTTTTTTGAGACGGAGTCTTGCTCTGTCACCCGGGCTCGTGTGCAGTGGTGTCATCTCGGCTTACTGCAACCTCCACCTCCTGGGTTCAAGCAATTCTCCTGCTTCAGCCTCCCAAGTAGCTGGGATTACAGGCGCCTGCCACCACACCCGGCTAATTTTTTATGTATTTTTAATAGAGACAGGGTTTCACTATGTTGGCCAGGCTGGTCTCGAACTCTTGACCTCATGATTGGCCCACTTCGGCCTCCCAAAGTGCTGGGATTACAGGCATGAGCCACCGCACCCAGTCACATTTGTTTTCTTATTCTTGATTTAACAGAAAAGGAAAGCTAAATGAAGAAATGATTGGTGAATTAAAATGTCTGTTGTTGGTTTATTTGGGGGGGGGGGGAGTTATTAGGATTACAGCATAATCCTATCTATTTCCCCAGAAGCAAATAAAGAAAAGTGTCAATCTGGTTAAAGCTTCCACCAGAGAAGCAAATTTTAGCTTTAAAGCAGATAATTATTGTAGAAAAGGAGTACACAAGAGTCAAGAATATCCCAGTTGTTAGTCTTCAATTAACCTACCAAAGGACTTAATAGCGCTTGCATAGACACAGTGAAAATTCACATTGCTGGTTCTAAAATCTTAATGTGTAAAGGAGGTCACTGAGGAATTTTTTTAAATGGCTGTACTTGATCTTCACCCTCAAATATTTTTATTTAATTGTTTTGGGGTGGAGCCAAGGCATCTGAATTTTTAGCAGCTTCCCCAGATGACTCTGTTGCAGGTGTTCCAGGGACCACTGCTTTAGAGTAATGTAGATGTTAACTTCTTTCATTACACCTGAAGGATTCTAACAGCGTCCCTCAACAGATGCCTCCTTGCCTAGGGCTTGGCTGAACAAAAACATTCCGAGGAGAGCTGAGTTTGCTTCCCCAGGCTTCCTGAAGACTCTAGGCAATAATCAATCATCCAGAAATGGATATGCCAATAAAGAGAAAGAGCAAGGGAGCACATTCTTTTCTATGGCAAACCTGAACCAGCACTGTTGGCTGTTACAGGAGAGCTTTGTAAGGAGCAAGTCCCCTATCCCTAAAGCAGAGGGATGTGGCATTGTGTCTCACTGTGCTTGGTCTTCCATTTACTTGTCGAATTGAATTAATTTATGGGAGAAAACGGAGATTGCAAGTTCTGTTACTTAATTGGAGAACGGAACTAAAATAAATGTGAAATGATGTGTATGCCTAGTACAAAGGTTATAGGAATTACAAAGTTTACTAATTCTAAAGTAGAAATTTGGAACACTAACCTCAAGATACATTTTACACTCCTGGAAAGTGGTCAGTTATACTTTTGCAAAACTGTTTTGATAAAAATATGCTGGCAAATTGTGCATGGATCTTTTTCTGAAGAATGGGATTAGCTGTTTATCTTAAAGTGCCAAGATTTACATATTTCACGTTAAAGTAACATCTGTCTATCTATATTTATATATTTTTGATTTAGATAATAAAGTAGAATGAAAAGAAAATTACTCATGTTTTCATTATTCATATATATATGCTCATTGCTTTTTATATTTTCTCAGGATTATTTTTAGTATGTATAAGATATTTTCTAGCATAGCACATAGAAGCTATTTTATAGTCAATATTTTAAAAAGATTTGTCTATTTCCCTCATTTAACTGAAGAGTTTTCATTGAAGTCTTTAATAATGACTATGCTTTAATCCTCCAAATGTGTGTAATGTATGTCATTAGTCCATCTTCTACGGTTGGATACTGTGAATCTTTCCACTATAAAATAGGAATAATAATAATAAAACAAAATGCCTATTAATTTTGAGTGCTTACTATTTCCCAAGCACTGTTCCTAAGGTCTTTTTATGCAATACCTGAGAAAAAAATTAATATTTTATATGAAAAAAATGATGATTTTAAATCACGTTCTATTAGAAGATGAGCCCCAAACAATCATCAGATTTAATTTGGGGATATTTAGTCATGTAACAGAAATGAAACCATCCTACATAAAAGAAATCTGCTGCCAAGTAAAAATTTATTGCTTTGATATTGAACATTAGCATCCATTTGCAGGGGCAAAAAGAGATAATCTTCCAATTTCCCATCTTTACAAAATAAACAGATAATTTTAATAATTACATTTTTATGCAGGTAGGAGACATGGCCTGATTCCCATCTGCCGCCTTCTCTATCATCTAGCTAAGCTTTATATGAAGGATGAAACTAAAAGAGAAAAAATAAGTTTGTATTTCATGACTAGCCTCAAGGTTAGCACAGATAAAAAAGAGAAAAAAGTAGCTGATTTTCCTCTAACTTCTTATCTTCTTTTTTTTTTTTTTTTTGACTTTAAAGAGGATCAGAAAACAACTAGGGAGGTCTCATGCCAAGAAGATTCTATATGGCTAGTGGAAGCTGGAGACTGGCAGTGAGTAAGAAGGAGCCACGACAGGCCTTACATAGCAGCCCTAGGGATCTTTGAAGATGCAAGAAGATCATGAGAGCCTGCAGCTTACAATAGCTAACAGGGACGTGCCTTTCATCTTTGAAGAGTTGTCCCTTACATTTTTCTTGCACCTGGTGCACCTTAGCAGAGTGGTGAGTCTATGGACTGACTCCTCTCTATAAATCGGCGATCACAGATTACTATTAGCATCATTGAACAGATGAAACTTCTTCAATACATATTTTATATTGTGGCTAATCTTAGCTATTTTGTGGATAAAAACCGTTATAAAGCAACAAACTCCTGTTAGCAAAAGATCTCCTTTATAAAATCAAAAAAATCAGAGAAAATGCTAAATGTAACGAAGAAACTGCTTCAATCTTTTACCTCCCTCTTTATGCAGTAACGTAGAGGCCTTTGGAACAGAATGATCTTCCTTCTTAAGTGGAATAAACTATATTTGGAGTAGGTTAGGGTTTTATACACTTTTTTTTTTCCTTTTTACTCTTTCTCTAAAACCAGAAATTGCTTTTACATGGTGATTTCTACCTGCCCAAATAGTCCTAAAACCACTACTAAGAAAATACTTACATATATAAAATTGCTACCTTCAGTTTGATCAATTATGGAAGAAAAGCTATCATTTCCATAGCCTTAAAAATGACATTTTCAACTGCCTCACACAGAGTATGCCCCAGGGGGTTCTTGGAGACTCAGAAGCAAAAATTATCCATGTTCATTTTTCAAAATTTTAGAGGTATGAGCCAGATTTTCCTTAAGTCTCTTTACCCAAAATTGCAAAAATAATCTGCTATGACTTTGTACTCTTGAAATAATGTTCAGTCACACTCTTGTTTTTTCTGTTCAGAAATACATTTATTTTTAATGTAACACCTATCTTTAGGCATCCCCAAGCATTCCTGTTATAGGGTAAAAGTTTAAAAAGAAGCACTGCATATGATTTACTAAATACATGAATTCAGGTGAAATAGCAATACAGGGGAGGAAGAAATACAGGGAAAAATAAGAAATTGGATATAAACTGGATTATATATATATATATGTGTTATCTTTTACGACAGGATTTGATAAGAAGAAATTAGAAAGGGGATATATTACTAAAACATTAGTCAGCAGTGGTTTGCTTTTTTCAATGAATTCATGTATTAATTCTACAATTAAGAAAGAAAAGGCTGGGTGCCATGGCTCACGTCTGTAATCCCAGCACTTTGGGAGGCCGAGGCGGGTGGATTACGAGGTCAGGAGATCAAGACCATCCTGGCCAACATGGTGAAACCCCGCCTCTACTAAAAATGCAAAAATTAGCTGGGCATGGAGGCACATGCCTGTAGTCCCAGCTACTCAGGAAGCTGAGGCAGGAGAATTGCTCGAACGCGGGAGGCAGAGGCTGCAGTGAGCCAAGATCGTGCCACTGTACTCCAGCCTGGCGACAGAGCGAAACACCGTCTCAAAAAAAAAAAAAAAAGAAAACAAAGAAAGAAAAATAAGGATGTTACCACTGGAGTAGAGCTTAGATATCATGTGTTCCTTTGTGTTCCAAACCACTTTCGAAGAAAAACTAGATCCATAATATGGTACAAGGTTATTAACAACAAATGAGAAAACAAAGCTAAAATTTGTCTTTTTAAATAGATTTCAGAATCAGGGAATTCTACCTACTTTAGGAGCATCAGATTATACTAAACTTCACTGTATTAAAGTATTCTGAGGAATGCTAAAGGAAATAAACAACAAGCATTTAACTTTATCCAAGTACTTGCCAAGGCTTTTTGATCACAGAATGTGGTTTTCATAGAACATCAAATAATATCTTGCGAAACTAATTTTGTGGTTCACAATTTTGTAAACACTGAATTAGAATCCTATCCAGATTAACAGATGTGGAAGTTGACACCCAGGATATTCTCCTTTCTACAACTACAGGAGTATTTAAACAAGTCAATAATATGGCAAAATACTGTAGGTTAAAACTTCAATGTC
This sequence comes from Homo sapiens, assembly GCF_000001405.40. Classification (NCBI taxonomy): domain Eukaryota; kingdom Metazoa; phylum Chordata; class Mammalia; order Primates; family Hominidae; genus Homo; species Homo sapiens. The sequence goes on along the minus strand of NC_000005.10, from coordinate 165,582,307 downwards.
CCATTAATTAGATAAAATATTATATATTAAATACTAATCTCACCACATGCCCTGGTTCCAAAGTTCTCTCTTTAGTAATATCTCTGTTATTTTCAATGTTACGTGGTTGTATATAAAACATCTTATATTAGAGATAAATTATATCTATCATATTTGAGAAGTCCATGTCACAATGCTGATAAAGACATAACCAAGTCTGGGAAGAAAAAGAGGTTTAATTGGGCCAGGCGTGGTGGCTTATGCCTGTAATCCCAGCACTTTAGGAGGCCAAGGTGGGTGGATCACGAGGTCAGGAGATAAAGACCATCCTGGCTAACACGGTGAAACCCCGTCTCTACTAAAAATACAAAAAATTAGCCAGGCGTGGTGGTGAGCGCCTGTAGTCCCAGCTACTCGGGAGGCTGAGGCAGGAGAATGGCGAATGGCGTGAACCCCGGAGGAGGAGCTTGCAGTGAGTGGAGATCACGCCACTGCACTTGCACTCCAGCCTGGGCGACAGAGAGAGACTCCATCTCTAAATAGATAAATAAATAAATAAATAAATAAATATAAATAAATAAATAAAAAGAGGTTTAATTTGGACTTACAGTTCTACATGGCTGGGGAGGCCTCGGAATCATGGTGGGAGGCAAAAGGCACTTCTTACATGGCAGCAGCAAGAGAAAATGAGGAAGATGCAAAAGCGGAAACCTCTGATGAACCCATCAGATCTCATGAGACTTATTCACTTCCAAGAGAACAGTATGGGGGAAACTTCCCCCATGATTAAAATTATTTCCCACTGGGTCCCTCCCACAACACGTGGGAATTATGGGAGTACAATTTAAGATGAGTTTTGGGTGGGGACACAGGGCCAAACCATATCTGTTAAGGCATTGGATTTATTTGGAAGAAGTAAAATGTATTAAGTCATTGAATTCTGGGACAACATGGCAGATAAGAACACGGAAAAAGACTAGCATATGCCCACATCCTTTTAAACATGAGAATGAATGATTCCAGTATAGAGTTCCAAATCAACTAAATAGAGCAGGAAACTTAAATAAAAAAATTGCAATATGATACTTCTAGTTCCCTCAATTACCAGGCTCATACTCTTCATGTTAATAATAGAATAAGTTAAAATGCTACATCAAACAAAATGAAGAAGTAAATTGAAAACATACCTAAGTGAACAGGTTAAAGTTTAAAAGAAGCTGTGAGATAAAGTTTGAAATTGGTTCACATAACAGAAAGGAGATGTTTCGGTTTATAAAAGAATTAATTGTAGAGAGTCTGTGAGCTTGCCAGCCTCCTGAGTATTGCGGACTTGTGACTGCTAATGTGGCTGTCATCAGTGTAAATGAGTAAATATTTTAATAATTCCATGTTGTTTCACCTCCTGTCTAGAGGAAATCCCAGGACTGACCACTGCTGTGACTTTTGCAAATTGGCTTAAGTTACCAGATATTACAGCAGTTACTTTCTTCATTATTTTCTCTAGTCCTTGCTATTACCAAAGAACTTTGGTCCTTATCAAATAAGCTAGAATCAACTCTCAGAATCATTTTGTCAATCTCCTACTATTAATAACTCCAATTTTGTTATACAATTATAAAATCTTTGAGACTGATATAATTCAGAATGAAAATCCATCGTTTTCTAGGCACAAGAAAATGAATAACTGTAAGACTTCAAAGATGGAAATTCCCTAACTATCCTTGCTACTGCAGAACATTATAATGTTAAATAAATAATAATAGTTAACATCTGTGTGTGACTTTTCTAGCCACTTTACAAGAATCATTCTCTTTAATGCTCACACAATTCTATGAAATGGATTCTTACTATTATATTATCATAATCATATTTTAAAAAAACACCAAAATACTGAACAAACTATAATTTGCCCCATTTTCATAGTAACAAAAAGTTAGTTTTCAAACTTAAAACAGTTTGGCTGTAGAGCCTACTACACTCATAAACATTATTCTATATGCATTAGCTTTCTGTAACTGCTGTAACAGATTACCACAAACTTGGTAGTTTAAAACAACAGATGCTTATGCTTTCACAGTTCTGGAGACCAGAAGTTCAAAATAAGTTTCAGTGGACTGAAATCAAGGTGTCTGTAGGGCTACACTTTCTCTGGAGGCCCTAGGGGAGAATGTGTTCTTTGCTGTCTTTTGACAGTTACTGGCATTCCTTGGCTTGTGGCTTCTGGCATTCCTTGGCCTGTGGCCACATTACTGCTATTTCTGCCTGCATGATCACATTAACTTCTGTCCCTGAAACCCCCTCTCCCTCCCTCCTGTAAGGACACTTGTGATTACACTTAGGATGCACCCAGATAATCTAGGATAATCTACCTATATGAAAATCATTAACCAAATCACAACTGCAAAGACCATTTTCCCATATAAAACAACATTCACAGATTCTAGACGTTAAGATCTTATACCATTGGGGGGGCATTATATGGACTGCCACGTGAAACCTTCCCTCTTATATGTCTTCGGTCTATTCAACTTGAGACTTTACCTACATAAATGGCCATCATATTTCTTCAGTTAGTTAGAAAGAAAGTCAGCATAGAGATTGGTGATACTATTCTTATTCTGTGCTTGGTAGAAAGCACACATTGAGTGATAGATTTAATAAAGAAGATTTCAACGAAGTTTCCAAAAAGAATAAAAAATATGTGCCTAAATTTTCATCCTTGCAAGGTAAGCCTAGGGCTTCATACCCAAGTAAGTAAGCCTACAAAGCATGGGCTTTGGGCATATGTAAAAATAGCATCCGAACAGCTATGACTTCAAATATCTAGCCAGGCAATACTATATGGGTTTACCCCAAAAAGTAGAAACTAAGGTCACAAAATAAGAGCAAGAGATGCAAACTCTACTTAATTTTGGAAAAGGGTTAGCTTTGAAAGGCCATATATATCGTATATATCTTTAAGACACTCGGAAGTGGCTTCTGGGGCCTTTTTTAGTATAAAGGCAGAGTTTGAGGGCAGGATAACAAATGTGGAAAGAAGTAGAACAAGTCAAAAAATCTAGTCTAGAAACTCAATTCATGGTTTCTTTGTTGAGGGTACTAATGTAGGCCCAACTGTTTGAAACAGAAACCTAGGAGTCATACTTGTCATCTTACCCTCTCACTCTCCATAATCTATTCACCCAGGACTGTTGGCCTTAGCTCTTAAACAGCTCTCATATCCATCTATCAGCTACACTACGTTTTCTATGCTATGAGTATTTCTTGCCAGGACTATTTTAATAGCCACTTATAGACATTCAAATTGAGGCATGGTCTATTCTTTATTGATATATTAAAAGTTCAATGTATGTAATGCAGCTTAATAAACTCAAGTGGTCATATTTTTCAGTTTAACAAGAACTCTCTAGTCATACCTTATACATAGAAAAATTTCCATGCTAGATATAAATTACTATCTTAAAAGTAAAATTCAGTAGAAGTTAGATGTGAACATCATGAGAGATGGTACCAACAATATGTGAAAACACATTTTTATGATATTAAGCTAATATTTTCTCTTAGAAAAATTTCCATAAAAAACAAGGATGAGGGAGCTTGTGTCCTTTGTAGAAATTTATTATATGACTTCCTAAATTATATTAAGCTCCTGCAAGAAATGACGCATACGGGATGACTTTTTATTTGAAATTTTGTTTCTTATACTAGGGTTCATCAAGCTGTTTCATATTTATTTCTCTGATTAATGATATGTCAAAATTCTAATTCTAGTACAAATTTATGGTGTGTTGGCAATTGGAGAATGAAACAGCAATGTAGACAACAGGCAAAATTGATTTGTATCCATCTTTTTTGAATTCTAGTAAATGTTTTCCAAATGTGCTTTTCTGTTGCAACCAAATTAAATATTATAATCTTTATCTCTCTCAACTATTAATTATGTTACTTCTGAGAGTTGAGAATTTTTTAGAGCACAATGGTATAGTTGGATGATGATTTAATGTGCCAGTTATTCAGAATTAGAGGTTCTTTTTTTAAGAGCTTCTACTATTATGTTTCCCATTCATCAAGATGCATCATATCTTTAAAAGGTTATGTAGTACAATTGGTTTTATTGAGGTTTTAAAAATGAACATGAATGTTGTGAATTGATAAGAAATGAAATATAACTGGGTGACTACATTGGACATGGATGCAATCAGAAAGGAAGAAAATAAACGAACTACTGGGAAAAAAACAACAACAAAAAAGAATATGAGACTGGGTGTGGTGGCTCGTGCCTGTAATCTCAATGCTTTCGGAGGCTGAGATGTTAGGATCGCTTGAGGCCAGGAGTTTGAGACCACCCTGGGCAACAAGGTGAGAGTCGATCTCTTCAAAAAAATAAAATAATTAGCTGGGCACGGTGGTGAGCACCTGTAGTCCAAACTGCTTGGGAGGCTAAGGCAGGGGGATTGCTTGAGCCCAGGAGTTAAAGGTTACAGTGAGCCATGATTATGCTATGGCAGTCCAGCTGGGTGACAGAGTGAGACCCTGTCTAAAAAAAACAAAAAACACCCAAGCAAACAAAGAATATAAGAGAGAAAACGGGAATGAAGAAAGAAAGAAAACGCATGGAAAACACACAGCTCATATATTCAGGAGGTTGGACATTTATTCCACCTGTTTAACATGTAAAGTAATATCAACAGAGTTCTAAATAAATAAGCACTCACTCACACAGCTAAACACAGCACCATCAAAATGGAGAATAGGACATTAAAATTGCTTGTGTTTTCAATGGTTCTTACAGATCCAGGACATGAATTATTGAGTCAGAAAAGAAAAATAACTATTGGCATTTGTGGTAAAATGCTAACAAAGCCAACTTCTTATTTTTTCATGTATCAAATGTTACTAAGAAATAAACCTTAAACTTGTTTGTAAAGATTAATGAGCATATTCTTTCAGACACCACAATTTTTGCCAAAGTTCAAATAGTGCAACAATGTTTAAAAACACACTGTTCATACTTACGAATCTTACCACTTTATAAGTAATGAAAAACTGTTACTTCAACAGTATTTATCAAACAAAATTTCTTGGAGACCTGATGATAGTAGGATTTTGAATGTTGACTACAGGGAATGTTTCTTAGTCTATTGCAAATCACTATTTCAACAAGTTGTTCTACCAGGACTAGCTTATACCGTAGTTAATGGTGACATAGAGGTTCACCTTCCTGCCATTAGTCAAGAAGAAACTAGAGTCCTGCATGCACAATCAGTATATATCTAGGGATTAGGGCAGAATGAAACGGAATGTGACTCAAACTGAGATTCTTCACTTAAAAGTTTGAGATACCTAGTTTTTTAAACAGGATGAACTTCAGTTATAAATGCAAAGGAGAAAATACAAGTGTTCTTTGTAGCTCAGAAGTATTGCACATATACTTTTTACCATTTCATAATGAAATCATGGGGATTTCTTACTTGAAGTTACTCAGTTTCAGTCTCTCTTTGTATACTCTCCATTTTCTTGTGGGGGAATTATCTCCTTATCCCCAGGCTTGGTAAGAAGGTTATTGCTGTTGGTATTTTCCCAGATTGGAAGATAAAAATGGCTGAAGTTGGCCAGGCGTGGTGGCTCATGCCTGTAATCCCAGCACTTTGGGAGGCCGAGGTGGGCAGATCACAAGGTCAGGAGATCGAGACCATCCTGGTTAACATGGTGAAACCCCGTCTCTACTAAAAATACAAAAAATTAGCCGGGCGTGGTGGCGGGCGCCTGTAGTCCGAGCTACTTGGGAGGCTGAGGCAGGAGAATGGCATGAATCTGGGAAGTGAGCGGAGATCACGCCACTGCACTCCAGCCTGGGCAACAGAGCAAGACTCCATCTCAAAAAATAATAATAATAAAATAAAATAAAATAAAATAAAAATGGCTTAAGTTGTAATTCAAGAGACCATTTACTCATCTCCTGCCCCAAGAGATCTAGGGGGCCAGCTTGTAGCTTAAACGCTTTTGATCACTGAGGCTCTGGTGAACCAAAGAGAAAGGAATATATGTAGGTCATTCAACCTTATATGTCATCCAACATCCTGATCACATTGTTTCAGTTACAAAATGATCACTGTGCATCTTTCTTCTTGGTTTCTGACAATTTCCATGTTTTGTCCTCCAGCCTCCTACTAATTGTTTGAGACTCCATAGTACTTCTGATAAATTCATTTTTACTTAGATGCAGATATCATCAGTGAATTCATATTGAAATAAGCAAAATAGAAAACCTCAGAAATGAACTAATTGCCATGTGAATAATTTTTAACATTAGTATATTGAGTTAGCTTTGAATGTTGTTCACTTTATAAAATAAACAATTCCTCAATAGGGTTATCACAGGCTTTTATAATTAAAAGCATGCTCAAAACTTTCTGTTCTAATCTCTCATTTTTTTCTTTCCTTGCCTCTGCAGGAGCAATGACAATGATGTAGGTGTAAAATGTGAAGTATCTTTGAAAAAGAGTCACAAACTATGGGAAGAATAAGGCAAATTAGTTACATTTATTTCTATGTCTTAAAAAAGATGCATTAAAAACAATTTATATTATTCTTATTCTTCTGATAATTTTGATGTGTTTTACATAATTGTGGAAGTACAACAGTCCTTGGTACCTTAGGCTCCCAAATCATGAAATCATGTACACATAAACAATTCTAAGTATTGAAATTTTGGAAACAGTCTAAATTCATCTAACAATACTTTTTGAGTAATTAGCATGTAATTGACTCTTTTTTTTTTTAAGACAGATCTCAGTTGCCCAAGCTGGAGTGCAGTGGTGCAATTATGGCTCACTGCAGCCTTGACCTCCCCGCCCCAAGTGATACTCCCACCTCAGCCTCCCAAGTAGCTAGGACTATGGGCATTTTTAAAATTTTTTATTTTCTTGTAGAGACAGCATTGCCTTTCATTATGTTGCCAGGGCTGGTCCAAAACTTCTGGTTTCAAGGGATCCTACATCTTCGCCTCCCAAAGTGCTGTGATTACAGGTGTGAACCACTGCACCTGCAGAGATGGTTGACTCTTTTATACAAAAGGTAAGCAACAAAGAAATAGTCAGTGATTGATGCATCATGTTTCCCAGTGGAATACATTGGAAATTGAGATGCCTTATTAGAAAGTTCTGTATAATATCACTACTAATATATAAATGCTGAGGATAGAATGAACTATAGCAACAAACAATGCATTTTTATGCGCCATGCAGAATCTCCTGTATGACACAGTGGAAATTAAAACACAATACTAGTTTACAGTACTCAGGGAAGAGTTGCAGTTTAAGAAAAGGGAAGTGTACAATAAGGAAAATCTTACAGAAGAAAAAGAGAAAGCAGTGGTAGCTATCTGATACCAAAAATTCCTGCCAGTTCTGCTTCTTTCTTTTTGCAGTTGCCCTTGCCTCCTTGCCAGGTTAACTCTAGAGATCTGTCACCAGGGGTCTTGAAATCTATAGCTTTTTGGTAGGTGGACACATATTTCAAATCCAGATGAGTTGGCCTGAATCCTATTTAATGGGAATATTGAGTCTGCTCCCACTTTGATTTTGGAAAACACTTGGTGTTGACGATGCTGAAGACCATAACCTGGAGAGTAGCAGTGTGAGATCCAAAGATATCAGTGCCCAGAAGCTTGCGAGAGTGACAGCCATCTTCATAAAAACGGCTTGGAATCATATGTCCAACTGAGAAATATCTCTTTTGTTCATTTTCTCTCTCTTTATCTCTCACTCAGCAAGAAAAAAAGCTGCTCTACACTCTTGCCTAATTTAAACACTGGACAAAAAATACAACATCTATTTTGAAATGCACATAGAGATTCAGGATATATTGGAAGGAGAAAAGCTTCCACAAAGCTAAGAGGGTGCATCTGTGATTGGAGGAGTCAGACAGATGCACCTGATGCTAAACCAACTTCTGAGGAGGCTTGGAAAAAGCGACACACTTCCTTTGTCATTGGAAATGAATCATGACTATTCCCTGCTTATGGTGATGGAACACAGCTTCCTGTTTTTATTACAGGAAGCATTATCTGGCAAGAAAAGTGAAACAATCCCCACACACTTAAAGAAAATAAGTGGAAAGGAAAAATCACTAATTTAATTTTCATAATGAGTTTTTCCAGACCTTCACTTTGATTATTTTCATCATCACGTCTTTTAAATGAGTTTTTTCTGTTTTTTTTTCTGAGTTATTGTTTAAATTAATGATGTTCTTTTACGTTGATGAAAACAAATGAAAAGGAGGGCATGCACACAAAAGGTGTATTTTCCTTTGAATATTGGCATTAAGCTATTTTAGGTTATGATTTCCAGAATTAAACCAATGAAGATATATTCAAAAAAGTTTGTTCTAATGATTTGGAATGAGATACTACAGAAATAGAGGTTCTATATTATTCTGTCAGTGCCATTCATTAACACACTGTACAAGTGTGAAGTGTGCATTGTAAAGTGCACAACTCCATGTCATAAAATTATTTTTAGTACCACTGACGTCAACTCCATCACTGTCCTTAATGCTCTCTTAAATCCTGTATGTACCTGGTTCTTGATCTTGGCTTAAATTTCCTTGATTTTGGCTTCCCTATTTTTCTTCCTTGAATCATACTCTGACTCATCCTTAGTCTGAATGCTCCAGGAAGCAGCACATGCAATGGAAGCCCTGGCACCCACGACCCTTCCCCTGTGCCAGCCTACTTGATTGGTTCACGTCTCATCCTACCCAACACTTCCCAACCTGTCTAGCCAAACATGTATGAACGAATAATAAGTCATTTAATATTTTAACATTTCTTCCATATTTGGAACACCAGAAAATTAAAGAAATTCAGTGAGGGCAATTAAAAATAAATACATAAAGTAAATTCTTGTTGGCATAATATTTGCTTTAATACTTTAGATTTCCATATATCTGAAGTGGTTACAAGTACAAAAGACTGTATTTAGATGAATAAAATGAAAGTAGAAATCAATCATCTAAGAAATTATAATTATTAGCATACTCTAGGTAGAATATATTTATTTAACTAACCATTTGATCAGTCTAGTTTTTTTCTAAGTAATCCTTACTATAAGAATAGTATTAGTTTGTCATACCAATTTCAAAATTCCTTTTGGTTCTTTTGCTTATGGTAGTAATAATGTTGCAAAGACTTGATTATTAACTACTTTCTGAATAAAGAGAGTAGAATTCTTTACTGTGACATATCTACAGTTCTGATCCTGCCTTTATTTCTAGACTCATCTACTTCCATGCCTTACATTCATTTTGTAAATTAAGTAAAATAGTTTAGAGTTCCCAAAAGGATGTGCCTTTGCACTTGCTATTTTATCAGCAAGAAAAGTCCCTTCTTCTCTACCATCATGACCCTGAAGAACTATTCTTTTTTTTTTTTTTTTTTTTTTTTTTTGAGTCAGAGTCTCACTGTCACCCAGGCTGGAGTGCAGCGGCGTGATCTTGGCTCACTGCAACCTCTGCCTCCCAGGGTCAAGTGATTCTCGTGCCTCAGCCTTCCAAGTAGGTGGAATTACAGGCATATGCCACCATGCCCAGCTGATTTTTGTATTTTTAGTAGAGACAGGTGTTTCGCTAGGTTGGCCAGGCTGGTCTCAAACTCCTGGCCTCAAGAGATCTGCCTGTTTTGGCCTTCCAAAGTGCTGGGATTACAGGCATGAGCCACCACGTACAGCCTGAAGAACTATTATTAAAATGACTTTCAAGACATAACGCCTTTCGAAGCTTTTCTTGACTAACCCCCAGCAAGCACCTCTGGCACATGATTATCTTCCTCTTTCTGTTCTTAAATTATGCCCCCATATATAACTTTTTCAGTCAAAGAGTATGTGGCACAAAAATATAAGTGTGGATTTTGCCTCTATCATCTTGTTACTACAGCTAGCTTTTAATTTCTATAAAATCTTACGTGGTTACGTGGTTATGACAGTTGTAACAAACTTAAAAAAATAATTCATATGAAGCTTGAAAGGGTTCTGTGATGGTTTTTTAAATGTCTAGGAATTATTTGATAATATTCTTTTCAAGATGTGAAGCTTAATTCCTCTCCTGTTGAGTGTGAGCTGGACTTAACGACTTGCTTCTGATAAATAATGTATGGTGAAAATGATAGTGTGTGACTTCCAAGACTAGGTTATATAGATAGGCATTGCAGCCTCCTTCTTGGCTCTCTGTCTTAAATCCCTTGCTCTGAGAGCAGCTAAGTGCCATGCCATGAGAACACTCACAGTCTATAAAAAGACCCATGTGGCAAGGAATGAGGGTGCCTGCTGATAGCCATGTGAATGAGCATTTTGTAAGTGAATTCTCCAGCCCCAATCAAACCCTCAGATAACAACAGGTCCCACTGACATGCTGAATTCAACTTCTTGAGCTAGCCTGAGCTAGTACCACTGAGATGAGTCACTTCTGATTTTCTCATCTCCAGAAACTGTGAGGAAATAAATGTTTGTTGCTTTAGGGCACTAAATTTGGGGGTCAATTTGTTATGTAGTGATATGGTTTGGCTGTGTCTCCACCTAAATCTCATCTTGAATTGTATTTCCCAAATCCCCATGTGTCATGGGAAGGACTTGGTGGGAGGTAATTGACTTCTCACTGCCGCCACCATATGAAGAAGGATGTGTTTGCTTCCCCTTCTGCCATGATTGCAAGTTTCCTGAGGCCTCCCCAGGCCTGTGGAACTATGAGTCAATTAAACGTCTTTTCTTTATAAATTACACAATCTCGGGTATTTCTCCCTAGCAGCATGAGAATGGACTAATACAGTAAATTGGTACCACAGAGAGTGGGATACTGCTATAAAGACACCCAAAAATGTGAAAGCAATTTTGGAACTGGGTAACAGGCAGAAAATGGGACAGTTTGGAGGGCTCAGGAGACAAGAAGATGTGGGAACATTTGGAACTTCCTAGACACTTGTTGAATGGTTTTGATGAAAATGTTGATAATGATGTGGGCAAAGAAGCCTAGGCTGAGGTGGTGTCTGATAGAGATGAGGAAATTATTGGGAACTGGAGCAAAAGTCACCCTATGCATTAGCAAAGAGACTGGTGGCATTTTCCCCCTGCCCTAGAGATCTGTGGAACTTTAAGCTAGAGAGAGATGATTTAGGGTATCTGATGGAAGAAATTTGTCAGTGGCAAAGTGTTCAAGAGGAAGCAGAGCATAAAAGTTCAGAAAAGTTGTAACCTGACCATGAGGTAGAAAAGCAAAACTCATTTCCTGAGAAGTCCAAGCCAGCTGCAGAAATTTGCATAAGTAACAAGGAGCCAAATATTAATCACCAAGACAATGGGGAAAATGTCTCTAGGGCTTGTCAGAGACCTTCACAGCAGCCCCTCCCATCACGGCTCAGAGACCTAGGTCTCTGGTTTCATGGGCCACGTTCAGGGACCCCTTTGCCCTATGCAGCCTCAGGACATGGTGCCCTGTGTCTCAGTCACTTCAGCTCCAGCTGTAGTTAAAAGGGGCCAATGTACAGCTCAGGCTGTTGCTTCAGACGGTGCAAGCTCCAAGCCTTGGCGGCTTTCATGTGGTGTTGAGCCTGAGGGTGCACAAAAGTCAAGAATTGAGGTTTGGGAACCTCTGCCTAGATTTCAGAGGATGTATGGAAATGCCTGGATATCCAGGCAGAAGTTTGCTGCGGGGATGGAACCCTTATGGAGAACCTCTGCTAGGGAAGTGTGAAAAGGAAATGTGGGGTTGGAGCCCCCACAAAGAGTCCCTACTGGGGCACTGCCTAGTGGAACTGTGAGAAGAGGGCCATGGTCCTGTAGACCTCAGAATGGTAAATCCACTGACAGCTTACACGGAGCACCTGGAAAAGCTGCAGACATGCAATGCCAGTCCATGAAAGCAGCCACGGAGAAGGCTGTACCTTGCAAAGCCACAGGGGCAGAGTTACCCAAGGCAATGAGAGCTCACTTCTTGCATCAGCGTGCCCTGGATGTGAGACATGGAGTCAAAGGAGATTATTTTGGAGCTTTAAGGTTTAATGACTGCCCTATTGTATTTTGGACTTGCGTGGGGCCTGCAGCCCCTTTGTTTTGGCCAATTTCTCCCATTTGGAATAGAAGTATTTACCCAATGCCTGTATTCTTATTTTACCTAGGAAGTAACACACTTGCTTTTGATTTCACAGGCTCATAGGTGGAAGGGATTTGGCTTGTTGCAGATGAAGCTTTGGACTTGGACTTTTGGGTTAATGCTGGAATAAATGAAGACTTTGGGGGACTGTTGGAAAGGCATGATTGTGTTTTGAAATGTGAGAACATGAGTTTTGGGAGGGGCCGAGGGCAGAGTGACATGGTTTGGCTGTGTCCCCACTCAAATCTCATATTGAATTGTAGTTTTCATAATCCCCACGTGTTGTGGGAGGGACCCAGTGGGAGGTAACTGAATCATGGTGGCGGTTACCTTCAGCCTGCTCTCGTGATAGTGAGTGAGTTCTCACGAGGTCTGATGGTCTTACGAGGGGCTTTCCCCACTTTTGCTCTGCACTTCTCCTTACTGCTGTCATATGAAGCAGGATGTGTTTGCTTCCCCTTCCACCATGATTGTACGTTTCCTGAGGCCTCCCCAGCCCTGCACAGTTTAATTAACTGTGAGTCAACTAAACATCTTTGGTTTATAAATCACCCAGTCCTGAGTATTTCTTCATAGCAGCATGAGAACCGACTAATACATGCAACAATGGATAACTAACAGATGTCCTTTAAATAACACTTAAATAGTGTAGTAGATACCTGTATAGTCCTTTTAGTGATGGGTAAATATAATATTTAGAGCAAGAGAGTTTTGAGGCTATCCATTCAGAAGAAGGCAGGATTTTGATTATTTAAGGGAGGATATTACTAACAGTTGTATTAAACATTAGAGTAGGCTGACTGAGATATACTGCTGTATCTTCTAAATGCTTCTTAAAGTAAAATAGATATTTTTTGCCTGTTTATTTGATCTTCCAGTACAACTTTTTAGATCTTATTGCTATATAACATTGAAATTAAGTATTTCCATAACTTCCTGATACGTGAGTTGCAGTTCTGTCAAGCTTGTCATATGGCAAATGATTAATGATTGTTTAATTTCACATCATTAAAACTCAGCAAATGAAATGGAAAATATATTTTTTAATGTATTAATGGTGGAATGAATGAAACCGCTAAACATCTACATGAATTTGGAATGTGGTTCTTAATTTTGGCTGCATATTAGGACCACTTGCAAAAATATATAAATATTAATATATGAATTAAACAAGAATGATGCACGGATCCTATTTGCAGAGGATCTACTTGAATATATTGGGTAGGAGTCTGGGCATTTGGATTTAAAATGTTTCAAGATGACTCAAATGTGCCACTACATTTGAAAACCACTGATTTATAACAGCATCATCAACATCTGATTATAACTCTGAAATGGCTCACCAAATTATACACCAGTAGGTCAAAAATATTAGGGTGTATGAGAATCACTTGTAGAACATGTTAAATATACTGTTCAGCATTCTGAGGCATTCCCCAAGAGATTCCCAATTCAGTATATCCAGGATTGGTCCTATGATACCGTAATTAAGAAGCAGCACAGAGGATTTTGATGCATGAGGGACATGTACTCTGCAACATTGACCTACACAGAAAAAGCCAGCAAGCTCATCAAAAAGAGCAATTAAAACGCAACTACAAATGAACAAACATCCCATCATAAAAATGGGCAAAAAGTCTATACAGACACCACACCAAGGAAGATATACAGATGGCAAATAAACATTGCTCAACACAGTGTCACTTGAGAAACACAAATTAAAACAATGAATACCACTATAAACATATTAGAAATTGCTAAAATCCAAAAAGGGCCTGATAATAACAGGGTACACAGCCACTTTGGAATACAGTTTTATTGTTTTTATAAGCTACACGTAGACTTAACATACAACACAACAATTACCATCCTATATATTTACCAAACTGATTTGAAAACTTTTGTTCAAACAACAATCCTTCTGTGAATGTTGATAATAGCTTTGTTCACAATCACCACCAAAAACTGGAAGCAGCTGAGATGCCCTTCGAAAGTGAATTGATTAACGGTGGTACATTCATACTATTCAGCAACCAAAAGGAACAAACTATTAATCCACACAAAAGCATGAATGAATTTTAAATGCATATTGCTAAGTGAAGGAAGCCAGTGTGAGACAGCTTTGTACTATATGATTCCATTCATACAGTATTCTAAAAAAGGCAAACTAGAGAGGCTGAAAACAGATGGTTGTTTGACAGGGGTTTGGAGGAGTATTGAGAAGGTGAAGCACAGGGGATATTTTAGGGCTATGAAATTATTTTATATGGTACTGTAGTTGAGGATCCTTGACACTATCTGTCATAAGCTATAGAGCTATACAGCAGTAAGTATAATGTATGCAAAAAAACCCCATAAATAATCAACTAGGAGAGCAGGAGACACCAGTATAAACTCTGATTTAGCTTAGTACAGACACTAGTGGATACTGATGAGCGTGTATTAGTGTGTGTATAGACAGGTAGATATTGGTATTCTGATGGATAATACTGATATATATTAATATATATATGAAGAAATATATATATATGTATACATGGGGTACTATACATACATATACTTCCTAGCTTTGTCCATTGAGAAGACCTAGAAACAATGAAATTCTAGTAGCTGCAAACAATTGCCCAGCTCTTTGATTCTAATCTCATTCTCCAATAAAAGGAATCTGGGATCCTTAAAGAAACAGCTGATTCTAGACCTGAGGAAGAAATGTACAATATGGATCTGATGGATCTATTAGTGCCAGAAAGTAATTAAATGATAGAACAAAGAAATAAAAATTCACTATGAGGATATGTCAAAGGGACAGAGGAACCAGTGAAATAACTTCCAATGGCAAAGCTGCAACAAAATAGTAGCATAGTAGTAGATTATAATCCTAAATGTAAAGTAAATATTCACGAGTCCATACTGATACAAAAAACAATCACCGAATCAATTAATAAACAGAGAAGAAAAGACACATTTCAAGTATAGAAGAATTTCAAACAATTTATGTAGATATTTCCCACTCACAAAATTTGAGTATAACTGACTGCCCCTTAAGTGTGGGCTACAGTTAGTGAGTTACTCTCAAGGAGTACAGTAAAGAAAAAAATTAAAAATGAAGTGTACTATGGAGAATACCTTTGCCAGGTGGGCAAGGTTAGCATCATCAGTGATTGAAAAGTCATGCTGATAGAATACATGCTACTCTGTATATGTAATCTGTTGTATTGAGAAGGGCACTCTACCTCTGTGTTCTTGCTTCCAATAACCCATAACCCCAGTCCAGCCATGAGGGAAATATCAGCCAAGCTCAAATTGAGGAACAGTTTACATAATACCTGAGAAAGACTCTAAAACTATCAAGGTCATCAAAATAAACAAACAAACAAATAATAACAACAACAACAAAAAAAACAGAAAGAAAAGTATGGAAAACTGTCACAGCCAAAAGCAACCTAAGGAGACATGATGACTAAATGTGACCTGGATGCGATCCTGGAGTAGAAAAGGGACAGTAACTATTGTCCTAATAGTTACTAGGACAATAATGTATGGAGTATAGTTAACATTCATATATTATTATTTGTCCATTAATTGTAACAAATATACCACAGTGGTATATTAACAAAAGAAGAAATTATGCAGGGTATTTGAAAACTCTCTGGCTGTTTTTGCAAATTTTTTGTAACTCTATAATTTAAAAGAAAAGTAGAAGGAAATAATAACTTTATTTTTTAAAATGAGCTCAATTCCCCTTGTTTATGGTATATAGTAAAATGTTGTCCCTGTAAATTACAGTAAAGGGTGTAGCCTTAATTAATCTCTCTCCCTAGACTTGAGGGCTTAGCTTGGCCTAACTTTTTATTGAAAAACAATGAATGAGTATGTTCACTCTGGCAGCAGTTTTTCAAGTTCACACAGCTCTAACCGAAATCTATTAGAGATAAAAAGAAGCTTAAACAGCCTATATTACTACTTCTTGCTTTTGTTTATACACGGTGAAGAGTATTCAGAATGGACCTCATCTCAGGCTTGCACTAATCCTTAAATAATTACAATTCATCTACTCGATGCTGGAAACACCTCATGGAATGTGACTTTGTTCTGCTGGCTTGTCTAATCCGATTCAATTACTTCAGTTCCCTCTCCCAGAGGCTTCACACTCAGAAACTGAGCTCTGTGTGGAAGGGAGGACTTGAGAGGGGTGATGTTCAGTTTCAGTGGAAATAACTGAACATTAGAAAAGAAAATCTTAGTCCTTTCCCAAATATCAATCCATCAATAAACATGAGAAACAGCTTGTAATTCACAAAGCTTCCAGCACCTCTGTTGTGATAAGGGCAGATTGGTCCGGCTGAAGAGATGGGAATAGTTCACTGGCTTGGACCAATTTGAATGGATAGAAATCATAAAAGTCCCTGAAGCTGGAGAAAATGAAGCTCTGAAGCTGGTAGAAGCTTGTCATCTGCATGCAGAAAGTGACAGAGATATTACAGTTTTTCCGTACAAAGCGATCTCTTTCAATCACCTGTAAAGAGTTCCCTTGTCAATTAGAACTCTCAGAGAAAGGCCCCGACAACTAAGGCATGCCTCCTTTCTTTCCTTGCCAAGAACAGCCACCTGACCAGAATGAAAACTTTGATTTAAAAAGAGAATAAAATATGAGTTCAGTGATTGCTCAACAGAAATTCCATTAAAGAAATTGCAATCCAAAGGAACAGAGAGGCAAAGCACATGCTATAACACATGTAAGGGTAGGTTTGGGGTTGTATGATCTCAAGATGAAAAAGATCGAGGCCTTAATTAATCACCCAGCTTCTTGACAGAGGTAAATGCTATAATGAAATAAAAAGGTATTGCCATTCTGCTCTTATGCCCAATTCCTGACCCTTTGTTATATTATTTTCAGTGAATCATGTCTTTCGTCTCAAAATCATCTTCATCATTCCCCTAAACTGCCTACAATTTTACAATTGAAGAATGAATAATGAATCATGGGGATGCATGAGAGATGAATTTAGAGACAACATTCTTTAAATGCAAATGCATATCTTTTTCAGCTTCCTGCCTGTAGTGAAAATGGAAAACAAAATTACACCTTAGAATTAAAAGTATGTTTGCTCTTGATGTTGTTATCTTCCGGGTAGTTGACAAACTTTCATGGATGCATTTAAAAGCAGTTTAACATTCCAAAATAAATGCTGCTATATGAAAAAAACAAAAAACAAAAAAAAACATGAACCTTTTTAATTCAGTAAGCTTCCTTCTCTTCCATGACATTGAGAAATGACAGTAAATAGATTATTGGGATTTGGGGAGTTAGTATAGCACAGATTAAATAGCTCTGTTTTGAAAAGTAGAGAAACAAGCATACAAGGTATGACCCTGTTGATTTTCCACCACACTATATACTAAATACCTTCCGTTAGCCTTTGCTATCTGCAAAATGCAAACAACAGTAGTATCCAGTACAGTGCTATTGAGAACATTAACTGAGATAATATAAAAGTGCTCATTCTCAGAGCCTATCACATAGAAATTACCCACTCATTGTGGTTATGTGAAAGAAAACTATCCTTATGTTATTGGTGAAGGTCTCAGGTGAGTAACACTAAGCAATACAAAAACTCGAACTTAGAATCTAGTGGCTACTACAAATGAAAAGAATATAATTTATTATTTCACTTTTAAAACATATGTTTATTGAGGTCCTCTTGTGTGCCAGCCACTGTTCTTGATATTGAGTATAATACTTCAACAAAAACAAGATAGACAAGGCCATGATGCCCAAGGAGCTCACATTCTGGAGTAATATACTGGGTGATATGGTCTGGCTCTGTGTCCCCACCCAAAGATCACCTTGAATTATAATCCAAATTGTAATCCCCAGGTATTGAGGGAGGAATCTGGTGAGAGGTGACTGGATCATGGGGGCAGTTTCCCTCATGCTGTTTTCATGACAGTGAGTGAATTCTCATGACATCTAATGGTTTTATAAATGGCAATTTCCTCTGCTCTCCTCCTCCTGCCTCCTTGTGAAGACGGTTGCTTCCCCTTCACCTTCGGCCATGATTGTAAGTTTCCTGAGGCCTCCCCAGCCATGTGGAACTGTGAGTCAATTAAACCTCTTTTTTCCTTAATAAACTACCCAATTCTCAGGTATTCTTTATAGCAGTGTGAGAACAGACTAACACACTATGTTATTTAACAATTGTTTTTAATTAATTAACCAAAATCATCAAAAGATTCTTGCAAACAGACTACGTCATTATTGTTCTTTTGGTTTTCCCAGGATTTATCTGAGATAATGTTTACAGATATCAATAACCAATTTTACTGTATACTTCAATTAAGTTTGTTTTTATTATCCCAAAATCAGGGGTGGGTAGAAGTTTGATTAAGGGTTTTTAGAGATGGCAAATTGTTTCGATCAGTCGTTTCATTCAGATATCTTTCAATTGATATATGTTTAAAGCCTCTTTACTCCAAGTGATTCTCAACAAAACCTGTCCTTTTATGACTACTGGCATGCAGGCTCTTAAAGGGATGAAAACAATAAGGAGTTAGAACACTGCTGAGAAGCTTTTCCCTCAAAATTCCCAGGTGTTCTATTCATAGAAATAATTTGAATTGCAAACATTTCCACAAAGATTACATTTGACCTCTCTCCCAATATGGAAGCTACTCCAGGGCTAAAGTATTCTTCCGAGGAGTCAAACTTGAACCACAACAGAACTAAGATATTACAAAATAATTTATATGAGGAGGAAAAAGCCCTTCCTTTATGTTTGTGAATAACTTCTTTTAGGAGAGATAAAAAGTCTTCTTAATCCTGGGAGTATTGATACCTGTATTGATATTGATATTCAACCACTGGTTCTTCAAAGGAAATAAAATCCACAGTAAAATACACTGACTTAAATCTCAACTCTCTGTGACTTTATGTAGCACAGTTAAGGAGAATAAAAATTTTATGTTTTACCTATATTAAATTTGCTATGTTTTATTGCCTAAAATAGACAATCATATTGTTAATTAATAAATTTGTTATAAGCCTTAAAACTTCTTGGTCTGTGAGTTTAGTTCAAATAAAACATTCAATTCCTGGCCAGTGTTTGCTAAACCTGGAATGTTGTATATCATGATTTAAGCCACTATAGGTATTTTTTCCTCATTTGCAGATTAGAGCTAAGAAATATAGAAGTGTTTCACATTATACTATTCTGTAGATATTAATAGATTTGCTCTGGAGAAAAACCTGATCATTAGTACCACGGACATTGAAAAAAATGATAAATTTTCATCATTTATGATTAACACAATTTCTAGATAAAAGTTAGAAATAAAGCAAATATATTAAAATTTCTAAAGGATATCTACCAAAAAAACCTCAGCAAGTATCTTATATAATAATGAAAGATTAATCCATCATCTCGAAATCTAATAACAAGACAAGGATATCACTATCTCTTTTTGAATTTAACATTGGTCTGGACTAAAGCATGAAAAGCAAACAGGTAGAAAGATTGAAATGAATAAATAAAATCATCACTATTCACAGAAAATAATTCATGACCATTTAATAGCTATCCAGGGGAAATTACACATAAAACAGTACAAATAACAAGAGTTTTCATTGAGGATTCTGGATACACAATCAATATATTTAAAAGCTAGTAGAATTCTTTCCCCCAGCACCAACAATTAGGAAATATTTTTATAATAATAAAGCTCCAAAATAATAATGTACTTATGAGTAAATGGAAGTAAAATGTGCAATTAGATAAATGGAAACACATACCATTTTCTTAAATGGTATGACTCAAAATCATACAGATGTCCAATTTTATACATCAACCTATAAAATTCACAGCAATTTTACTAAAACTCTCCTCAGATTTTCACAGAGGGTAACATATTTTTCTAAAATACTAGTGTAGAAAATTCCAAAGTAACAAAGACAACTTTGAGGAAGGATAAAGTGTGTAGTCCACATAACTAGATATAACAGCTTACTATATAAGGGGACCATTGTAATTCTAATGTTAGGGTAAAATAAATGTACTCAAGCAGACCACATTATAAGTTTCTCATATATTTACATGCAGTGTATTAAACACTTAGTATATGTTAGAAGTGAGTTTTATGAAGGAGAGAAGAGGGGAACAATGAATACATTAGACATTAATTTGTATTCTTCAACTCTAATCTGAATATCACATTGTTTGTTTGTTTGTTTGTTTGTTTTGAGACATAGTCTTGCTCTCTTGCCCAGGCTGGAGTGCAGTGGCACAATCTTGGCTCACTGCAGTCTTGGCCTCCTGGGTTCAAGCGACTCCCCTACTTCAGCCTCTAGAGCAACGGGTATTACAGGTGTGTACCACCACGTCCGGCTGATTTTTGTATTTTTAGTAGAGATGGAGTTTCACCATGTTGGCCAGGCCAGTCTCGAACTCCTGAACTCAAGTGATCTGTCTGCCTTGGCATCCTAAAGTGTTGGGATTACAGGTGTGAGCCACTGCACCTGACCATCACCTCCTCTTTAAAGCAGTTACATATTTCTCTTACTAGCTTTCAAAACTGTCTTATTTTTTGATACATTTTACCTCCTTCTATTATCGTTTATTTACAGTATTTTAATTATCTTCTTGCCTACTTTTTCCCCTTTGTAGACTAAAAGTTTATTCAAGGCAACATCTATGGCATATTAATATTTATATCATCAAATTCCCCAAAATTATCTGTACTCATCAAAGTGTCTGATGTAATTTTTTTAATAACAACAAATACAACTGTGTACATAGAGGTCATTCTTCAAGGGAATTAAGCATGATTTTCTCTGCGTTTCTAAGAATGAGAACAATAAAAACATTTCTAGACACAAATAGTTTCTTACATACATTTTTGAATATATAAAGAAATTATATATCTTTCATACATGTTACATACATGTATACACATATGTATTTATTTAATACATTACACCATCATCGTGCACATATATATGTATATTTCTCTACATTTACGTGGATGCGTCGGTAATCTCATGTGACCCAAACTGATGTAAACATTATTTAAAGTGGAGCTTTACTCTAGATTATTCCAAGCTTCATTCGTCCTCCTGTCAGTCAGGAAGCTTCTCCTCACATTTCTACAGTTCTGTCATCTTTGTTCCTCTGCTCTTATTCTCTGTCCTTCTGTCTGCCTTTTAAGCTAACACTCTTAAAAACCTTCTTTTAAATGTTTACTAAAGCTAGCATCAGACCATGTTTCTTCCCTGGTGTTAAATCAACACTTCCCACTACATCTAGTTTTTGACTGCTGAGTTTAACACTGGGAGGAGGTGAGGATTTCTGTGTCTGCCAATTGGCACTGCTTAGGAGGAAATCTGGCATTGGAACTATTGCACATTTAAAGTCGATGTCACCCAGCCACTTTTCACTGGGCATTTCCCCTGCTCTTTTCATGGACTTTTGTTCCTCTGAAAGTTCATATGGCTCTCACAAAGGATAGTAAAATGAATGGTAGGCTTTCCAGAAAATTACATTTTACACAAAATGGAATGTGTTATCTGGGCATGATATAGCAGAGAATCTGGAGTGAATACCAAGAGAAAAGACTTATGCTTCTATATGTGTGAGTTCCAAACTGTATCGAGATATGCATAAGAACCAAACTATATCTAGACAAGAATAAGGTTTTTAAAAAATAAATTAAAATACTTTGTAAGTTGACAGTTGGAGATTAAGCAAAAGGAATAATGTACCTCCACAAAGTATTATTCTGGGATTTGTCTTTCCAGGTAGGTCAGTGCAGGCTAACACTCTCGTGGTAAGAACCAGGAAGAAAACTGGATAATTTGTAATCATAGGCTTAAATAGATCCGATTGCTGGGGGAAAACAAACAAACAAACAAACAACACGACAAAGACTTGATGCACTAAACATTTTAGAGCAGAAATCGCCCTTACTAGGAAATCTGAAAATTGCTCTTTGACCTTTGCAAATTCTAATTATAAGTTGAAGATAGGTTTGGGCTGGGCATAGCAACTAAACTGGGAGAAAGAAATCCCAGGTAAGTATTGATGGTCTGGTGAACCGGCATGACAGGTTGAAATCTAGCAAAGCTCCAAAAGCATGAGTATTTCCTAATTGAACACTGCTGAGTCCTGAGGCAACATGGAAAGTTAGAGGGCTATCCAGAAACATCTGAAGACAGAAGGAAACCACCACACCACAACAGTCCTTAGGAGACAAAGTCCTACTAGAAAGAGGAAGTCGGCCTGAGGCTAGACCTCCCTCAAGATTTGCAAAAATATAATTGGTACTGGGTGGGGAGCTAAGGAGCTTGGTTGAAGACTTCTAAAAAAAAAGAACTGATCACTTCCTGTGTTTCAGAGCTGAAGAAACAAAGAACTGTTAATCTTGCAATCAAGAGTCTAGGAGGAACATGCCCAAGAAATTGGCGACATACCAGCTGTGAATTAAGGCTTGCTCAAACTGCTACTTAGACCTGACCCACCTGACTGCATTGAGTAACTAGACCTTCGCACTGCCTACCTAACAGATGAAAAAATAAACCCTCTTTGAGGGGGGAAAAAAATCTTCAGCTTCTACGGTTTTTCCACACAATTTCCTGAATGCAAAAAAAATTACAAGGTATGCAAAGAGAAATGAAAATGTGACCAAAAAGTTTTAAAATGTTAACAAAAACTATAAAGACAGAGATAATTCAGATAGTACATTATACTCATGTGGACTTAAAACACCTATTATAAATATGTTAAACAACACAAGGAATATAATAACAAAATGAGGCCAGGTGTGGTGGCTCATGCCTATAATCCTAGCACTTTAGGAGGCCAAGCCAGGCAGGATCACTTGAGGTCAGGAGTTGGAGACCAGCCTTGCCAACATGGTGAAACCCTTTCTCTATTAAAATACAGAGATTCGCTGGCTGTGGTGGCGTGCACCTGTAATACCGGCTATTCGAGAGGCTGAGGCAAGAGAATCGCTTGAACCAGAGGTTGCAGTGAGCCAAGATTGCACCACTCCAGGCTGGGAGACAAGAGTAAGACTCCACCTCTGCCGGGCACGGTGGCTCACGCCTGTAATCCCATTACTTTGGGAGGCCGAGGCAGGCGGATCACGAGGTCAGGAGATGGAGACCATCCTGGCTAACACGGTGAAACCCCGTCTCTACTAAAAATGCAAAAAAACTAGCCAGGCGTGGTGGCGGGCGCCTGTAGTCCCAGCTGCTTGGGAGGCTGAGGCAGGAGAATGGCGTGAACCCGGGAGGCAGAGCTTGCAGTGAGCAGAGATAGTGTCACTGCACTCCAGCGTGGGCAACAGAGGGAGACTCTGTCTCAAAAAAAAGAAAAGAAAAAAAAAAGACTCCATCTCAAATAAATAAATAAATGAACAAAATTATTAAAAATATCGAGAGAACTGGAATCTATAAAAAAGAATAAAAATGACATTCCAGAATTGAAAACACACAAAAAAATCCCATAGTAGAGTATGACTAGTGACCTCAAGGAAATAAAAAAAAATCCAAACAGGAGCACAGAGAGGGTAAATAAAAGATTGGAAAGAAGAAAAGGGTGTAAAAAACATGTAGAACAAAATAAATTATGTTCAAGATAATGGCTGAGAAATATCTGATAAACTGATAAAAGATGTCAGCCCACACATTCAAGCACAGCAAACTCCAATTAGGACAAATAACTAGATGACCATATTTATGTGTGTCTTAGTAAAATTACTGAAAACCAAAGGCAAAGTGAAATATTAGCAGCTTAGAGACAAACACATTTTTTGTTCAAAGAAGCAACAGTAAGGCCCCAGGCAAGCTTTTCAACCATAACTGTAAAAGCCAAATGACAATAAATGATAGCAATAGACAAAAGAAACAAACAAAAGAGTGTGAGTCTAGAGTTCTGTATCATGTTAAATTATCCTTTAGAAGTAAAAGTCATAAAAATACTTTAATATTAAAATAATCTGAGAGAATTTGTCACCAATGAACCTATAAAAAAAATTAAGGGAAGTTCTCCAGATTAATGCAACATGATGTCACACAGATGCACAAAATTACAAGGAGAAAGGAATACCACTGAACCGGGTAAAACCGTAAAAACACTTAAATAATATTAATATTTAAATTAATAATGCTAGCAACCCACTGTGGGGCTAAATTATTCACACCAGTAAAATAACGTGGGAGCATAAACAACAGAAAAAGAGAGACAGGTTCCCTTTTGTAAAATTCTTGCATTATGTAGAAATATTGAAAATGTTAATTTAGAATAGAGTATTATAAGTTGAAACTGCATGTGGTAATTTCTGGGGTGATCAGTAACAGAATAACAAAAAATATACAATTACAAGCTAATAGAACATATAAAATGAATATCACTTGATCGATTATAAAAGGAGGCAAGAAAGGAGATAGAAAGGAATGGGAACAAACTATAAATATATAGGAAATAATTC
Source organism: Homo sapiens (assembly GCF_000001405.40). NCBI lineage: Eukaryota > Metazoa > Chordata > Mammalia > Primates > Hominidae > Homo > Homo sapiens. Next base: position 165,557,704 of record NC_000005.10, on the reverse strand, counting down.
CAACTATATCAGTCATGACAGTAAATATAAATTTATTCATTAATTATATCAAAAAGCAGAAATCATAAGACTGAATTTAAAAAAGACATAATTATACCCTGTTGATAAGAAATATACATGAAATACAATTACACAAGTTCAAAATATTAAGATAGATAAAATTATATCTTGAAAACATTAACCAAAAGAAAGCTGGTATAGTGATACTAATACAGACAAGGTAGACTTTAAAGCAGGTAGAATTTTAAGTCATAAAGAGTGGTATTTTAATATGATAAAAGGTCAGCTGGAAAGGAAGACAAAATAATCTCAAATCTGTGTGTACCTGATAACAATTTTAAAAGAAAAAAATATCATAACTAACAATAAGATAAACAAACCTGTAATTCTATATTAAATTTTAGTGCATCTTTCTAAATAACAGAAAAAGTACTTAAAAATCAGTACTATTGTGAAGAAAATTGAGCATCACATTTTAACAACATGACAATTGACATGCAGAACAATATACGCAATAACTGCAAAATATGTAAGATTTTCCAGTGTATTTGGGAAATCAAAATAGAGCCTATGCTTGGCTGTGCAACACGTCTCAATGAATTCCAAATGTTTGAAATCATACAAGGTATGTTTTCTGACCAGAAAGGAATGATACTAAAATTCACCAAGAAAATGGTAACTAGAAATGTCACAAAAGTTTGGAAAAGATAACACAACACCGCTCTAAATAACCATGAGTTAAATCAAAAATCAAATAAAAAGAAAAAGAAAATTTTTTTCTTTAATTTTTAGTTTATGTTCAGGGGTACATGTGCAGGTTTGTTATACAGATAAACTTGTGTCCTGCAGGTTTGTTGTACAGATTATTTCATCACCCAGGTATTAAGCCTAGTACTCATCAGTTATTTTCACTGACCCTCTCCCTCCTCCCACCCGCTACCCTCCAATAGGCCCCAGTGTGTGTTGTTCCCCTCTATGTGTCACTGTGTTCTCATCATTGAGCTCTCACTTATAAGTGAGAATATGTGGTCTTTGATTTTCTGTTCCTGCATTTTTTTTTTTTTTACCAAGGATAATGGCCTCTAGCTCCATCTAGTTCCCTGCAAAAGATATGATCTTGTTCTTCGTTATGGCTGCACAGTATTCCATGGTGTATATGTACCACATTTTCTTTATCCAGTCTATCATTGATAGGCATATAGGTTAATTCCATGTCTTTGCTATGTGAATAGTGCTGCAGTGAACATATGCATACATGTCTTTATAACAGAACAATTTATATTGGGTTAGGGTTAGTAATGGGATTACTGGGTCAAATGATATTTCTGTCTTTAGGACTTTGAGGAATTGCCACACTGTCTTCCACAATGGTTGAACTAATTTACACTCCCACCAACAGTGTAAAAGTGTTCTTTTTTCTCCACAACCTCACCAGCATCTGTTATTTTTTGGCTTTTTATTAATAGCCATTCTAACTGGTGTGAGATGGTATCTCATTATGGCTTTTGATTTGCATTTCTCTAATGATCAGTAATGTTGAGGCTTTTTTTCATATGATTGTTGGCTGCATGTATGTCTTCTTTTGAAAAGTGTCTGTTCATGTTCTTTGTCAACTTTTTAATGGGATCGTTTGTTTTTTTGTTTCCTGTAAATTTAAGTTCCTATAGATGCTGGATATTAGACCTTTGTCAGATGCATAGTTTGCAAAAAATTTCTCCCATTCTGTAGTTGTCTTGTTACTCTGAAATATAACTAAAAGTTTACTTTTAATTTATTTTATTATTATTTTTTTTGAGATGGTGTCTTGCTCTTGTCACCCAGGCTAGAATGCAGTGGCGCAGTCTTGGCTCACTGCAACCTCCACTTCCCAGGTTCAAGCGATTCTCCTGCCTCAGCCTCCCTAGTAGTTGAGATTACAAGCGCATGCCACCACACTTGACTAGTTTGTGTGTGTGTGTGTGTGCGTGCGCACATGTCTTTTTTTGAGATGGAGTCTCGCTCTGTCGCCCAGATTGGAGTGCAGTGGTGCAATCTCGGCTCACTGCAACCTCCACTTCCTGGGTTCAAGCAATTCTCCTGCCTCAGCCTCCCAAGTAGCTGGGATTACAGGCACCTGCCATAGTGCCAGTTAATTTTTGTATTTTTGTAGAGACGGGTTTTCACCATGTTGGCCAGGCTGGTCTTGAACTCCTGACCTCAGGTGATCCACCTGCCTCATCCTCCCAAAGTGTTGGGATTACACGCATAAGCCACCACACCCAGCCCTAATTTTAGTGTTTTTAGTAGAGACTGAGTTTCTCCATGTTGATCATGCTGGTCTTGAACTCCTGACCATCCACCTCGGCCTCCCAAAGTGCTGGGATTACAGGTGTGAGCCACCGTGCCTGACCTAAAAGTTTACTTTTTATTATAACAAAGTTTACTCTGTTAATAGTTTCTTTTGCCGTGAAGCTCTTTAGTTTAATTTGAAGTTTTGCTTTTGTTGCAATTGCTTTTGGCATCTTCATCATGAAATCTTTGCCTGTGCCTGTGTCCTGAATGGTATTACCTAGGTTGTCTTGCAGAGTTTTTGTAGTTTGGGGTTTTACATTTGAGTCTTTAATCCATCTTGAGTTAATTGTTGCATATAGTGTAAGGAAGGGGTCCGGTTTCAAAAACTTCTGTATTTAAGAAAATATTTTTAATTGAAGAATAACGAAATTACAGCATATCCAACCTGCAGGATGCAGCTAAAAGAGTACTCAGAGGAAAAAATATAACTATAAACACACATATTAGGAAAAGAAATACAGGTTTAAAAATCAATGATCCACGCTTTTAGCTTAGGAAGATGGGAAAAGAAAGGTAAATGAAACCCAAGGGAGGAAGGAAGGAAAGAGAAAGGTAGAAAGCAAAAAAGGAAGAATCAGTTTTTGTAGCATAGGCTACCTATCACTTCATGAAACTCACTCACTGTTTCTTTAGGCTCATGGTTGGAATAAATATTTCAGCCTCCCTAGCAGTTAGGGGTGAATAAATATGAGATTTCTGGCCAATAGAACTGATGTGTTCCTCTTACAAGATAAATTGTTTAAAGCCACCAATGCAGAATCTTTAACCCAGCTTAATGTCAACACTCAGGGTTGTATTAGACATCACATGGCATAGATGGCATTACCTCTGCCAGCCTTGTTTTCTGAACTGTGGTTGGAGCAATTCACTCTCTCCATCTCCCACCATGTCCAAACCGGAGTTTGTGAAAGAAAAAAAAAAATCTGTTGTGTTGATGCACTGAGATTTCAGGTTTATCTTGTTATAGATAGACTCTTACAAGATTAGGGTGCATATTTTTAGCCACAATTCCTGTACAACAGAAAAAATTCACTTAGCACAAAATAGAATTCTATTACATTACCAAATGTTTGAAAAGGGTTCCATGAAGTAAATTCCGAGAGGGATGCCATTATGACCTCTAAATTTGAGCATCTAAATTCATATAAATGTTTTCTGGAGAGAAATAAAATCTTCAGGTTAACAAGGTAATTGGTGAATGAATATTTTAAACTATAAATCCTGCTTGAGTGAAATGTGATTACTCATATCTTTCAGCCAAAAGATGGCTTTAAAATGTTTTATAGAGCCTCAGAGTGATGCCCACGTTAGGATCATTTCCTTGTTCTGGTTGTTATTAAAGTATCACAGAAATCAGTGAAATGCAACATTGTGGCCTGCCAAAGTGAGCTCCTTTCAATCTGTTTCTGTCGGCCTTCAGAAGACAGAGAGGATACACTGGGGACAAAATGATGCAGGTTGGAATAACAAACAAAGTTGTGATATCTTTGTGATAAATACGGAGAGCATATGAAACCTGAAGGAGCTGGCAATGTATTCTCTTGTACCAAATTAAACCCATCAGAAATGCTAGGCCTCTTTTAACCTTTTGTTATAACAACAGGTTCCTAAAGATTAAAAAGATGCAAAATGAAAGATGAGTTCATTCATCCAGATCTTAGGATAAGGAAACGAATATTACCTTTTTTTTTTTTTTTTACTTTTAACATGTACACACGTAAATGGCTATGTGCATGCACACACACATACCCACAACTCTAATGGACAAATTAATGATGAGAGAATTTTTCAATAATCTATAGTAAGACTGTTTCATTTTGAAATGTTAAATATTATTAAAATCATGGAAAGTGCTGTATCTTGCTTCTTTATATCCAATTTATCAACATGTACTGTTATTACTTCCTTCAAAAATACCTCTAGGTTTCATTCTTTTTCCTCTATGTCCAGCACTTCCAGTCCCTAAAATACTTCATGTCTGGACTTCAGCAGATTTCGGATTTCAGAGTCTCTCTGTTTCAATCTAGTCCATTCCCACTGGCAAAGATATCTTTCTAAAATAACTGCTTTCATTATAACATGTCACTCTTGCAAGACTTATAATGTATAGCTCCTTTGGGGAAATCACTTGGGAAATTGTTCAGAAATGCATTGCTTTTTAATGTCATGTTCAAATCTATGATGATGTTTTACATGCTTGCCAGAGAAATGCCTTAAGACAAGGCTGTGTGATAAGGGGACTTCCATGAGCAGAAGAGCCAAGAAGGATGGAGGATGGATGGATGGATGGATGTGTGGATATGTGAGTAGTTCTTTCTTAACTTCAGATTACAGTATTTCATGAGCTTTTAATGCAGATCAACTTTAAATTGAGATCATATGAGATCATGGAGTTAGGTAGAAGGACCCAATATGTCAAGCACCCTAAAAGGGAAGGATGTAAATTTGCAGAATCTTCGCTTTCCAGAAATGGAAATCATCATGGAAAAAAAAAGAGGTCAGAAAGGCATACTTCTCTTTTTGACCATGAGAATTACCATGCGAGCTCAGATAAGAACAGGCACAGAGACTGTCTCATTCCTTCAGCTTAACTGACAGAAACAAACACCCAATGTTACATTAAAAAAAAAAAAAAAAACATTTGAAAGGATTTGATTCCAAAAATCTCATCAACTTTGCATGAAAATGTTTTATGAAAGATTTCAGGATAAAATACTGACTCAGTTCTTTCTCCAAAGATCTTAAACAACAGAAGAGATATATTTAAATAATTACATAAAATATGTTTCATTTCGTTTAATTGTCCTTGTAGTGAGGGCTAGAGAGCAGAATTTCAGGGTGTGAAGGGAACAAGGGAAAATGCACTTGAAGTATAATTAGGAAGTTCTTAGAGGCATGATTTAAGCTGGGACATGAAGAACGAGTAGGAGGCTAAATACTTTGAAATAAATATGTTTTTGTAGGGGAGTGCGTGGTGAGCAAAAATGGCACGTTTTCCCAGCCCGAGAGAGTCCGTGGCAGGAGTTCAATTGCCCATGATTTGCAGTAGAGGTCATTGGACTCAAAAGAACTCCTTGGCTGTCACTTTGGTTTTGGTTATATCAGATAACAATAGTAATAATTTAAGTGGAATTTGGATGGCTTTCTGCAATTCTGGGGTTTCATAGTAATTTGTTTTAGATAATGAGATTTTGACTCATATTAAATCACTGTCACCTCCGAGACCAAGTCAGGGCTAATTAATAAAAGGGCTATGATTTTCAAATCAAGTAATATTCAGAGTTAAATAGACTCTACTACTCTATTTGATAAACAACAGTCTAGCCAGAATGGACTATTGAGAGATTATTTTCTCTAGAACAATTATGAAATTGGCCTAGCATAAGTACACTCATTTAAATAGAGTATGTTTGGTTTATTGAAATGAATCTTTTCAGTAGCAGAAAAAACGCTCTTGAGAATGTTGTTAAGACAATATAACAAGTTAGATTAATATAGATTTGACCAACAAATGATTCTTCTTATTGGCCTTTGGATTTTAATAATATTTAGCCAGAAGCTGTTCTTCAAGTACTGTCATTTGAACTTTTTATAATAAAAGGCAGAAAGGAAGCTTTAATGAGCTCTACCCAAGTTCATAAACATTCAGACTGCAAACCCAGAAAACAAAACCAGCCACCTGTAAATGTTTGACCTATTTTTCAGAAGGGAATTCTTTGAAGAGAGGTAGAGATCTGCAGGGTGTAGAAGTGAAGGTGGGAAAATACCAAAAGATAAAACATTCCAACTTGCAAATTTAATAAAGTGAGCCTGATTCCAACCCTGTAGGTGGTGTTACTGAGGCGTATGTTCCCAGAGCAGTCTGGAAAACACAGCATTAAAAATCTGTGCTCAATGTGTTAATCTGTTACTTCCCAAATCATAGGCAATGTGTTAAATATTTTTTTATTGGATAATCTTAAAGTTTGGAATTTTTAATAAAATTATTAAAAAGAGAGTAAATCAGGCTATATTTCATAGGATCTCAATTCTATCTCTGTTATTTGTGCAATGAGCACTGATATGTGTTAGCAAAGGGAGGAAAAGGTCTTGCGATAATGCAAAATAAAATATTCCACTTATGAAGTGCCTGTTACGAACACCTGGCTTGATACTTTAAAATGGCTGCACTCTAAAGGAGGTAGTTCTATCTCCATTTTACAGATAAGGAAATTGAAGCTCTGAGAAATAAGTAACTTGCATAAGATTATATGGCTAGTAAGTTCCAAAGCTGAGATACAAACTAAGGGATTTCTGATCCCAAAGAATAAGCAATTCTCTGGCATGATCTTAATTTACTTTTCCCAAATGTGATTCCTACCTATGAAAATTCAAATTCATATCTGCCTGAATTATGTCATTTAGGAAAAGGGCTTTATGTTTAGTGTGTGCGTGTGTGTGTGTGTGTGTGTGTGTGTGTGCACATGCTTCCCCTGTAGACCTAGAAAGCATCAAAAGAGCTGGCAACATCTCTATGATATTCTCAAATTCTTTAGGTTTTTATGTAAATGCATAAAGGAAAACTGGGGCATGAAATGATGTCTTTGTGATTATTTTTACTGAGGCTCATTTTTAAGGTATTATTTAAAACTTCTCATTTGTTTGAATAGAGAATACTGACACAAGGTTTCAAATTGAAGCGGTATAAAAGTGAGTATAATGACAGTCTCCCTCCAAACCTTGCCACCAGCCAACAAGTTGTGCTGGTGCAGGCGTCTAATGTTATCCATTACTCAAATACCATGCCAGATCTGTGATCTTTTATACTTATATATGTAAACATATATATACATAGACATATATATATAACATATGTATCAATCTCATATACATCTATTTCCCCTTTATTACGTAAGTCATTATACCTTTGGCCTCTTAGCATCTTGTTCTGTTTTCTCATAGCTTTATATCTAATGGATTATTTCATGTCAATACAAAAAGAGCTTCCCTATTTTTTTATGATTATATATTATCCTTTTATACTTTTATAGTGAACCTTTAAGTTGTTCCCAATTTTTTGCCAAAATAAACTTTAATAAATATATTTTCAGTCATAAGTGTTTTTCATAAGTTGAAGTGGAATTGACAGGTTTAAATATACATGTCTCAATAATTTTGAGATTCTTGGGCAAGATGGCAGAATGAGAACAGCTCCAGGCTGCAGCTCCCAGAGAGACCAAAGCAAAAGGCGGGTGATTTCTGCATTTCCAACTGACGCAACTGGCTCATCTCCTTGGTACTGGTTAGACGGTGGGTGCAGCCCACACAGGGTGAGCTGAAGCAGAGTGGGGAATCGCCTCACCCGGAAAGCACAAGGGCTCGTATCTAGAACCAGAAATACCATTTGACCCAGCAATCCCATTACTAGCTATATACCCAAAGGATTATAAATCATCTTCTATAAAGATACATGCACACGTATGTTTATTGCAGCACTAATCACAATAGCAAAGAGTTGGAACTATCCCGAATGCCCATCAATGATAGACTGGATAAAGAAAATGTGGCACATATACACCATGGAATACTATGCAAGCATAAAAAAGAATGAGTTCATGTCCTTTTCAGGGACATGGATGAAGCTGGAAACCATCATTCTCAGCAAACTAACACAGGAACAGAAAACCAAACACCACATGTTTTCACTCATAAGTGGGAGTCGAACAGTGAGAACATATGGGTACAGGGAGGGAAACATCACACACTGGGGCCTGTCAGGGGGTGGGGGGCAAGGGGAGGGATAGCATTAGGAGAAATACCTAACGTAGATGACGGGTTGATGGGTGCAGCAACCAACCATGGCACATATACACCTACGTAACAAACCTGCACGTTCTGCACATGTATCCCAGAGCTTAAGTATAATAAAAATTTTTTTTGATACATGATTGTCATCTATAGAAGATTTAGAGATTAATACTCTCATAACAATCCAAAAATTTCTGTTTCCTATACACACAACAATACTGAATGTCATCAATTATTTTCATCTTTGTCAATCTGATAGTGGAAAAAATTCTATCGTAATTTAGTCTTAATTTGCCATTGTCTTATAATAATGTTGAGAATGTTTTCATATGTTAAATGACCATTTGTATTTCCATATCTGTGAATTGGCTTAGAATCGTGCCTTTTCTTTCTTTTTTTTTTTTTAATTTGGCTGTTGCCATTTTTAGAAAATATGAAAGTAACTGCTAAAGACTAAATGTGTGTTCTCCCCCGAATTTATATTTTGTAACCTCATTCCCAGTGTGAGAGGATGAGGAGGTGGGGACCTTGGGAGGTGATTAGTCATGAGGGCAGAGACCTTATCAATGGGATTAGTGCCCATATAAAAGAGGTCAGAGGGAGTGAAAAGATGGCCATCTATGAACCAGGAAGTAGGCTCTCGCCAGACACTGAATCTTCTAGCCCTTTATTCTTGCACTTCTCAGCCTCTAAAGCCATGAGAAATAAGTTTCTGTTACTATAAGCCACCCAGTCTATAATACTCTGTTACAGCAGCCTGAATCAACTAAGACCCTTTGTGATCTCAATTACAAATGTATATTTTTCCCAGTTCATTTTTGTCTTTCTATTTGTTTACAGTGTTTTTTTTGTTTTGTTTTGTTTTGGCCGTTCATACCAGCCAGCCCTTACCTATGCATAGTTATCTTGAAGCCCAAAGTAGCTTAGACTGTAAAGTCTTCCAAATGGGATGGGGAGAGATAGTGGTCTAGCTGTGCAATTCTCCACCTTCCACTCCTGTTTCCAGTAATATCTCTACACTATCCTCTGCAAGTATACATTCCTAAAGCTTCTTGTGTCTCAAACTGATAAATCTGTGTACTTCTGAACTCCCCTCTTAAATTTTCTGTCCTAAGTTTTAGTTGTATGCTAAATTATGGACTACACATTCACTGCTTTTCATGATATCATCTGTATCCTAGAAAATATTTATAGACAAATGTATAGCAGAGTAATTAGGATAACATTTGAATATTCTCTGATGTCCAACGATCGAGGTTCAAACATTGACTCTGACATTTATTAGTTTTTGTGACATTAGGAGAGTTTTTTAAACTTCTTAAGCATATATCTGATTACATTACTCTCTTGCTTAAAATCTTTAACGTATGGTTGCCAGAGTTAACAAATTAAAATGCAGGATAACCAATTAAATTTGAATTTAAGATAAACAATGAATACTTTCCTAGTGTAAGTGTGTTCCATGAAATAGTTGGGATATTCTTATACTAAGAAAGTATTCATCAATTATCTGAAATTCAAATTTCACCGGTATTCTGTGTTCTATCTGGCAGCTCTACTTTAATGACTTTTTTTCCACTGTACCATGAATAAAAGACAAACTCTTTACTGTGAGCTATGTGCTTTGAAATACAACACAACTCTGCTGGCCTCTGCCTATCTCTACCACTTCATCTCACGTCATTCTATTCAACTCATAGTATGTTACGGCCATGCTGATTTTCTCTTAATTCTTCCAAGGCACTTTTTTTTTTTCTTATCTCAAAGACTTTGCTCATCATTTCCCTGACTCTCCACAAGGCTGCCCCTTTTCATCCTTCAACTCTCCTCTTTGATGTCATCTTCTCAGAGAGGCCATCTTGTCCACTTACCTAAACACATCCCCTTTCCTCCACGCCTCCCATATACAAAGTGTGTTTTTCCATGTATTAGTATCTCTGTTTTCTGTATTTGCCATAATTCCAGTAGCTACTTAAGGGCACGCACCTTGTCTGGTTCACTCAGCAATACACACCAATCTTCTAGTACATAGGATATACTCCATAAATATTTTAAAATTCATTAAAAGTAAACTCACAGATACAGAAATACAAATGGTCCTTTAACATGTGAAAACATTCTCAACCTCATGATAAGACAATTCCAAATTAAAGTTAAACTAAGATAGATTTTTTTCCCACTATCGGATTGACAAAGATGAAAATAATTGATAACATTCAGTAGTCTTGAGGGTACAGGAAACAGAAATTTATAGACTGCTTTATAATTTGTGATTGAAAAAAATGATACCTACTTCAAAGCATTATTGGGGATAGTAAATAAAATAAAATAAAATAAAATAAAATAAAATAAAATAAAATAAAATAAAATAAAATAAAATAAAATAAAATAGAATAAAATAAAATACTACTCACGAAGTCCATAGTGATATACTTGACACAGAATAAGTGATCAATAAATGATAGTTTTTTTACAACTGTCTGGTAATATTCTTGTGGAAGGATAATATATTTGTGGGATATATTCTTGTGATAATTTTGGGAAAACAAACAGATAAACAAAGGAAGGTGTCTCTAAAGAGCCCTCTGGAGGCTACATACACCCATAAATACTAAAACCAACCCCTTCACAGACATTTTTATAATATACCCTCTGCATCCACATGGACAGCTCTAGATTTTGTGATTAATCTGTTTATATATTCTGCAAGTTTGTTGACCATTTTATTCTTAACAGGACATATACATTTGGCATTAGGAGGTAGCTCATCCTTGTCCATGACTCTTCTTCCTTTCCATTTTTTCTCCTCCATCTCTCTTGCTCTTTATCCCTATTTCTTTTAATCAGTATAATACAGAATCAAGTAACCTCATTGACTAAATATCAATAGTTCCTCAGCTTTTTATTTTTGAAGCTTCCATGTTCTCTCACCTTTCTGTTTCTCCCAAATTTTGCCCTGAAAATTATCCTCCTAGATCACTATCGGCTTCAGAAGAGACTGAAATCTTTCACTAGTAAACAAAAATAAAATGAAACAGAGTATTAAAGAGAATGAAGATAGTCTAGCCACTCTGAATAATTTTTTTTCTTTATTGTCACAATCAGTAGAGTACCACTGGGATATTTTAAGTTGCTGAAAAATTTATATTACAATTTTCGATTATTAAGCACATAGAACGTAAGGATTCAGATCTCTTCATCCACAGCGTTAGTCAATAAATCTTTTGCACATTTATTTACTGAGCAATAATTGCAGGGCAAGCACTATGCTAAGCCCGAAGTGGGGCACAAGATCCTCACTTAGTGAGAGACATAAATAAAAAACAATGAAATAAACCTCTTAAGGACATTAGGGACACATACATGAAGTGTTTTCAATATTTGGAATACGAAAAGATTACTCAGGAGAATCAATCATGTTTGGCAGAGACCACGGATTTTAAGTTACGATACAAAGGATGGCTGATATATGTCTATATGGAATAAAGAGAATAAAATGTTCTTACTACCTGTAGAACACATTTTGTTGTTTGGCATTTCGTAACAGGTTTTTTTTTTGTGTGTGTTTTTGTTTTGTTTTGTTTTTTGAGACTGAGCCTTGCTCTGTTGCTCAGGCTGGAGTGCAGTGGCACGATCTCAGCTCACTGGCACAGCCACCTCCCAAGTTCAAGTGATTCTCCTGCCTCAGCCTTCTGAGTAGCTGGGATTACAGGCATGAACCACCATGCCAGGCTATTTTTTTTGTATTTTTAGTAGAGACAGGGTTTCACCATTTTGGCCAGGCAGGTCTTGAACTCCTGACATCAGGTGATGTGCCCACCTTAGCTTCCCAAAGTGCTAGGATTACAGGCATGAGCCACCACGCCCGGCCTCATAATAGGATTTTATTTACTGACTTTAGGCCAGTCTCATCAGACAATCTTGAATTGGCCAGCTCTATTTAAGTGATACTACAGTGGCAAATAGTTTCGAAATCTTCCTTGTTTATAATTACAAAAATGTGTTTCTCGTTTTTATTACACGTGCTTTGCAGAGTGGCTACAACTGCATCCCGCATCTTCTGCTCACAAGTGGTGAGTCATCTCTGCTCACATTCACTGGCCAGAGCAAGTCACATGGTGAAGCATAATGATAATGTGATTACCAAGAAAAGCAACATATACTTAAAAACTCCACTATGTATGAGGAATACATTACAGGAAATATAAACAAATTAAATCTTAATTATATAGTCAAGTTTGCTAAACTTTTAGGCTATACTAATTATATTACAATGTATTTATACATCTTTATTTCCTTGGTCTAAATGTTTTAAGCAACCTAATTAACATTCTCCTTAAATACCTGCATTTTGGAAATTCTCTTTTAAGAGACAGAGAGAATATCACTCTGTCACACAGGCTGGAGCGCAGCGGTGCAATCATAACTCACTGCAGTCTCGAACTCTTGAGTTCAAGCAATCCTCCTGCCTCAGCCTCCCAAGCAGCTGGGACTACAGATACATGCCACCATGTGCAGCTATTTATTTTTATTATTTTAGAGACAAGGTCTTTCTATGTTGCCCAGACTGGTCTCCGATTCCTGAACTCAAGTGATCCCCCTACCATGGCCTTCCAAAGTGCAGAGATTATAGGCATGTGGCACTGTGCCCAGCCTGGAAATATTTTTTTTGACAGAACATTTTCAGAAACTCATTTTCTAAACTTGCGGAAGCCCAATAGCCCATCTCTAATCTTGTGCAGTATGCAGAAACAACAATGATGAGAAAGTATGAGAGAAGAAATGACAAAAGGATCGATGGGAAATAGGATTGAGTGAATGGGCAACTGGAAGGAAAGGATTTCAAAGATAAAGGCCACATGCCATCAAAGTGTAATATAATGAATGGGAGAAACATCGCCTCCATTAGGCTTAGAGCCACATTCAGTTGATGATTTGCAGATTCTCTGCTAAAATTGTTCAAATTTACTAAAATCTCAGCCAACTGATTTGCAATTGAAAATGAGAAATTAGATAATTGATAGAAATCTCAATTTTAATTTCCATACACAACTTGTGGCATCATAGAGTACCACTCTATTAAAGCAATATTTTACCCCTTTATATGATTTATCTTTATATTTAATTTGCTTTCGTGATGCACAAAGCAAGCAAATCTCAACCTGTATGGTGGTGCTCTGTGGGATGATTTTGTCACAGTTGATGGGCTCTCAAGGACATTAGTGGGATTTCTACTGCCCACAGAAAATTCTAAATATTCAAGAGAAGAATCTTATATTCACACCGCACACAAATCAAAACCCCAAATAAAATGGCTTTTAACACAGTGTGAGCTTGACCCCATGGTTCATGAATCAGGTTATGAGTTAAGGAAAACAGTCAGTCAGTCAGTGTAGAAAGGAAGCCCCGATCAACAAGAAAAGAAAGGTCTGTTAGTCCCAGCATCTAAGAGTGCTAAAGTTTAATGTTAAAAGGAAATTCATAAACCACATGAATCATTAATTTTGTTTCATAGTGTGGCTTTCTATATTATCCATCATCAAGTTATTAGATGCAACAAAAGCTATCCTTTAATGCGCACTTGTAAATGTTATACTTTTTCTACAAATTATCTCATTTAATCTTTACCACAACCCTGCAAGGTGGACATTCATACTACTATTTTAAAAATAAAAGTAATAAGACTGAGAGATCAATTAAAAAGCGAAACTTCACGCAGAAAGTAATCAATGAAGCCTGGATTATAAGCCAAGATCTAGCTGATTTCAAATATCAAGACCACACAGTGCTGTCCCTTACAGGGAGTAAGACTGATAGATTTAAATTTTGACATTCATTTAAATTAAATTATTCTGCATTTAACATTGTCTGTTTATACCTTAAAAACAGAGATCCTGAAACTAGAAAGACACCGGCAAACCAATGCCCACAGTTTTAGCACCTGATTACATTTAGATATATGTAAATTTTAGATTCTTGTAATAAAAAAATTTTACAAGGAACTTCTTGACTTCATTTTAAAGAAAAGATCTCAAATTGGGCTAGATATGTTTGTTTTCTTTTGTTTCAATATATTTTTTAAAGTGCCAGTCTCCCAAGGGCCAAAGCATATTACAAAGAAGGCAGGGTACAATTTTCATGATGAATGCTGGTTAGCATCTAGAGAGTTTTTTTTTTTTTTCAGACATTTGTACATGGTAGATGAATGACAAGAAACGCCAAGTGTGATTTGTTTAAAATTATTATCATTATTACAGTTGTTAATATCATTCATATTGTATTAAAATTGTTTTTACATTGTAAGGATTGCATTGCTCTGTGTCCTTTGCAAAACATTAATAATAGGGATTTGAGGAGATTATCGTACAAAAAAGGGACTAAAAATAGGTGGTTTCTGAACAGTGTTTTTTGCTTTATTCATGTGATACCAATCAACTTAAAAGTGAAAATGCAACCTTCAACTATATCCCATTTACTAGCGTGGACTTAGCTTTTTGTTGTTGTTTTGTTGCAATTTTTTATAATGAGCAATTTAGTATTATAAGACATAATTTTTAGGTTATTCACCTCTTTTTTAAATCAAAGGCAAAGAAAACAATTGGGCCTTTCTGAAAAGTCCACTGGCTTTTATATTGTAGTTATCTAATTGTATAAGAAAAATACAATGTTAGATAGTGTTATAGATTATTTTCACATACAATAAAAAATATATGTACACAATGCTTTTAAGAACTAATAGAGGCCAGGCGTGGTGGCTCATGCCTGTAATCCCAGCACTTTGGGAGGCCAAGGAGGGTGGATCACGAGGTCAGGAGATGGAGACCATCCTGGCCAACATGGTGAAACCCCATCTCTACTGAAAAAAAATATATAGGCTGGGCGCGGTGGCTCACGCCCGTAATCCCAGCACTTTGGGAGGCCTAGGCGGGCGGATCATGAGGTCAGGAGATTGAGACCATTCTGGCTAACATGGTGAAACCCTATCTCTATTAAAAATACAAAAAAAATTGGCCGGGCTTGGTGGCGGTCGCCCGTAGTCCCAGCTACCTGGGAGGCTGAGGCAGGAGAATGGTGTGAACCCGGGAGGCAGAGCTTGCAGTGAGCCGAGAATGCGCTACTGCACTCCAGCCTAGGCAACAGAGCGAGACTCTGTCTCAAATAAATAAATAAATAAATAATATATATATGTGTGTGTGTATATATATGTATATATGTGTGTATATATGTATATATGTGTGTATATATGTACATATATATGTGTATATATGTACATATATATGTGTATATATATGTATATATGTGTATATATATGTATATATATGTGTGTGTGTATATATATATGTATATATATGCGTGTGTATATATATGTATGTGTATATATATATACTAACTGGGTGTGGTGGCAGGTGCCTGTAATCCCAGCTACTCAGGAGGCTGAGTGAGGAGAATCAATTGAACTAGGGAATTGATAGTAATTCTGACCGGGTGCAGTGGCACATGCCTGTAATCCCAGCACTTTGGGAGGCCAAGGCAGGTGGATCACCTGAGGTCAGGAGTTCGAGACCAGCCTGATCAATATGGTGAAACCTCGTCTCTACTAAAAATACAAAAACTACCCAAGTGTGGTAGTGGGTGCCTGTAATCCCAGCTACTCGGGAGGCTGAGGTGGGAGAATCGCTTGAACCTGGGAGGCGGAGGTTGCAGTGAGCCAAGATGGCACCATTGCACTCCAGCCTGGGCAACAAGAGCAAAACTCCCTCTAAAAAAAAAAAAAAAAAAGGAACTAAGAGTAATTGAAACAGAAAATGTTAAGCTTAATTAAAGTTCCACATTTAATGTAATTAGTCCTATAGTTTATTCTGTTCGCTGTCACAATTTTCTAGTCTCATCAAAAGCTTTTTCTTGGCAACAACTTGCTATATATATATTTACAGTAAGACCTTGCCTAAGGATATTAGCATTCGGCTCTGCATTTATCATGCAGAAGGAAACAGACAAAAACAGTCCAGATGATCTAAAATGCAATGAAACTGTAAAGATCTGCATGGTTTAAAACATCTAAAATTTCAGTAATGCCCTTGAACTTCAATCTTTGCACTTAAAATATAATTTTGAGGTAACATAACATGAAAAATGCAGAACAGGAATTAACATATTCAGTCAACATTATTTCAGATTATTTTAACTCTAAATCATAAAGTGCATGGATTATGTATAACAAGTTAAAAAATAGACATGGATTTGAATCCTCTCCTCGTTACTAGCAGTGACCTAGGCATTTGCTTAATATGGACAAAAATAGCATCTATCCAGTGGTGTTGAGGGCATGAATCACAGCACTTGATGAGATTGGCCAATGAATGCTAATGCTTTTCCCTTATATCTGCATTTTCCCTCTCTCTGTTCCTAAAACTTGCGTTACCATTGACTCCTTCCTTGTCCTTTGCTTTACATCCATACCACGCACACCCAAGCTCCCTTCAATGTGTTCACTCTTCTGCTATCCTATGGTCCTCACACCTCTCAAGGAAACCTCTGCACCAGCCTTCTAATCTAACCTGCTTCTTTGTACCACCTTCTCAGTCAGGCTGTTCTAGAATTTCAAGGATTTCTGTTATCTCATCTCAACCAACTATTCTGATTGGGTTCTTCTAATCTCAGTCATATGCTATGCTCAGAAAAAATATACTAACCTATGCTCCATGAAAATCTGTTCTATATTCTTTGTCTCAAATACTCTGCTGTTACATCTCTATAAATTTCACTTAAATCAAAGGCCAATGTTGGCTGGGCATGGTGGCTCACGCCTGTAATCCCAATACTTTGGGAGGCCAAGGTGGACAGATCACGAGGTCAGGAGTTTAAGTCTACCCTGGCCAACATAAGGAAACCCTGCCTCTACTAATAATACAAAAATTAGCCAGGTGTGGTGGAGCATGCCTGTAGTCCTAGCGACTTGGGAGGCTGAGGCAGGGGAATTGCTTGAACCCGGGAGGCGGAGGTTGCGACGAGCCGAGATTGTTGCCATTGGCATTCCAGCCTGGGCGACAGAGTGAGACTCCTTCTCAAAAAAAAAAAAAAAAAAAAAAAAAAGGCCAATGTCATCTCCCATGTAAACAATTTCCAAATCTCCTTAGTTTCAAGTAATCTAATCTTCCTCCAAATTGTCACATTTCAAAATATTATTTTCCTATTGTAAAATGTGCTGTAGATAGTTTACAAAATATGTAAAAGCATATAATACATTAAAATTATGAAAAATTCCACAACTAAAGGCCATTGCTTATGTTTAGACCCGTTACATTATGCCCATAGAGGAACAAAGTTGTACAATGTATGATATATTTTTATACATAGGTTTATCTGATTATTTTAGGATACATTTGTAGAATTAAACTGATAGGTAAAAACATTTTAAGAATTCTAAAACTTTTGGTATATATTGTCAAATTGACCTTCAAAATATTATGTAAATTAATACTGCCTCATCCATGTATAGTAATAGCTATTAAAATGTTTCTGTATTTAAACTTTTCAGTATCAAAATCTTTCCCAAATTATTGATTAAAATTGTTTTCCCCAAATTGTTTCAAATTTCATTAATTTTGTTCTCAGTAAGACTAAACAATTTACCCATTTGAATATGTCATGTGCTTTTCTTTACTTATAAATTGCCTTTTTTTGTCAATTTTTTCTTCTTCAATTTGATCTTTTTCTCTTCTTAAGCATCATGCAGTAGTAAAAAAAAAAAAAAAACTCATAAAATACATTGCAAGTATTTTCACCAGTTTCACTTTGCTGTTTCATCACATATATGGTATTGGTTTCATGTCTAGAAATTTAAAATTTTCACTCATTTATATACTTAAATCTTTTCATTTATGTTTTCTGCCTTTGAACCTATATTTACAAACATTTCTGATACTTTAAGATTGAATAAATATTTACCTAAATTTTATTCCTTGTTATTTAACAGTTTTATATTCATTTTTTCACAGTTTATTTTATTCTGTAATTTATCTTGAACATTTTTTGGCATAGTTTATGCTATGGGCTGAACCATGTCCTCTCAAAATTTGTATGTTGAAGTCCTAACACCCAGTACTTCATAATGTGACTGCATTTCAAGACAGAGCCTTCAAAATAGTAAAATATAATGATGTCATATGGGTAGGCCTTAATCCAGTATGGCTGGTGACCTTATAAAAAGAGATTAGGACACAGACATGTACAGAAGACCATGTCAAGAACCAGAGAGACAGCATCCATCTGCAAGACAAGGAGACAGACCCTTGGAAGAAACCAACTCTGCTGTTATCTTGATCTTGGACCTAGTCTCCAGAACTGTGAGGAAACATTTCTGCTGTTTACTCCACCCCGTCCCTGGTATTTCTTATGTTAACCTTGGCAAATTAATATAGTATAAGAGTAAAAACATCTAGTTTTTCTCCCTTACAAATAAATACACAACTGTCCCAACATCCTTAATATACAATCTGTTCTTCATTCGAGAATAAATTCGAGAATAATATTTGAATTTATTCGAGAATAATAAATTCTTTAAACAATGACATCTGTTTATTGATGTGTTAATTGTGGAATAATTTTACCATAGCTAAAAAATATTGCTTAATGCAGTCTCCCTTTTTTATACCTCAATTTTAAAAAGTATTGACTCTTCTGAAGCATTCATATCTGAAATAAATTTTTGAATTAGGCTACCAAGGTCTGAAACATTATACTAATGAGAATTTGTTCATAATTATCACTATTTTTCAAATTAATTTGGGGAAAATATTGTCTTTATATTACAGACTATGTCAATAATATTGAATTATATGTAATGTTAAAGCCTATCTATCAATTAATAGCCAGGCTGGTCTCAAACTCCTGGGCTCAAGCGATCCTCCCACCTCAGCCTTCCAAAGTGCTGGGATTATAGGTGTGAGCCAACTCACCCAGCCTATCTTTTGAACGTTTTAATAACGTTTGGCATTTTCTTCATGTAAGGCTTGTATGTATTTCTCTGTATGTTTCCCAGTGTTTAATTAAGTTACTAATTTTTTAACCAGCCATCATACTGAAGAGTCCTATTAATTCTCATAATCCTTTCTAAATTTGTATAACAGAAAATTACAATTCTAGGGCTTCCATTACAGTAAAACTAATAATGTCAATAACACAAACACTCTTAGGAAAGTTCTTGGTCAAACATCAAAACAGATATCCACTTCCTTGGCTGCATTCAATTTACTACACAAGTTTCTTTAATAAGGCAGTGAGTACAAGTCTCAAAACTCCACAGGCCAGCCATCAGTCACTTTGTTTAACTAAAACTAAAACTTTAACTAAAACAATTTTATTTCCTTTTGAAGTTGATTTAAGAAAAGTCAGATATGACTCACATTTTTTCTCCCTCAGTTACTGAGAGTTCTTTTCTTGGATTGTTTTGGTTATTAAAGTACAATTGAAGACCCCTTTACCCCACCCTAACCCCTTCACACACTCATACTCTGTTTTATGGGGGGCAAACTTGAAAGAGATTCGTCCATGGTCATAAATAACTAGATTACTGCTACTGCTTCCCTAGTAGCTGGGATTATAGGCGTGCTCTACAATACCTGGCTAATTTTTGTATTTTTAGTAGGTACAGGGTTTCACCATGTTGGCCAGGCTGAGCTCGAACTCTTGACCTCAAGTGGTCAACCCCCCTCAGCCTCCCAAAGTGCTGGAATGACAGGCATGAGCCACTGTACCCAGCCTCTCCTCCCTTTTTAAAAGTAAACATTACGAATAATGTTTACATTTACAAATTCCACAAAGCCGTAATGAATTGCATAGTAGCATGAATAACCATACTGTTTAATTTGGCCCTCTTTATATTAAGTTCACCGTTTTCCTTTTTTCTCTCTGTGTGTGTGTGTGTGTGTGTGTGTGTGTGTGTGCGCGCGCGCGCGCGCGCGTGTGTGTGTGTGATGGAATTTCACTCTTGTTGCCCAGGCTGGAGTGCAATGGCACAATCTCAGCTCACTGCAGCCTCCGCCTCCTGGGTTCAAGTGTTTCTCCTATCTCAGCCTCCTGAGTAGCTGGGATTACAGGCACCCACCACCACACCTGCCTAATTTTTAGTATTTTTAGTAGAGACAGGGTTTCGCCATATTGGCCAGGCTGGTCTTGAACTCCCGGCCTCAGGTGATCCTCCCGCCTCGGCCTCCCAAAATGCTGGGATTACAGGTGTGAGCCAACATGTCTGGCCCATTTTCCTTTTTAAGAACCATGTGTGTATGGATGTGGGTGTACAGGGATACACATCTTATTTCCTCTACTAGACTGAAAGCTCCTCAGGAGCAGAATTGTTTCTGATTTATGTCCTGTTACCAACACCAATAACTTGTACACTCTGGAGACGTTCATTGAATGTTTCATGACTGAGCAAAATTTATTATTGTTTTCTGACATTTTTATTTACTCAAAATTTTATTTCTAGTTACTAATTAATGTGTTTTTCACTGTCATTTGTATTTGAAGAAGTATATTTATAAAGTACTCTTGTACTTTATAAATGTCTTGTTATCTATCTTGAGGGAGAGTTGTGTCTTATTGTTAATTCCTCAAACATGAATGTAAAGAATATTATTAGATATTGGGGCAAGGATCTTAATTCCTGCCCCATAAGATTCACTGTTAGTCATCTCAGACATTAAGCAATATTTAAAAATACTTTTTTGAGAGTAACACAAAGTTCAAATATTTCTGTTTTCTAATTTTTCTTTAAAATTGTTATATTTGTTTTATAAATTATAAATAACTTTAAATTTTTAATAAACTATATAATCTAAACACATTTGTATGAATAGAATTATAATTTTAAGTACACTACACTTACAACAATTGTATTAAACTGCATAAGACCAGTCCTCAAAAGATAAATCCACATTAAACTGAAGCATCATGAAAAATGCATGGAAAATGCAATAGAAAGAAACATAATTACTCTGGACTAAAACATTTGCATAGGGTGAAGAAGAATAAAAATCTATCAAGTGCCTAGATTAGATTACTTTTATTGTGACTTAAATTCTAAGAAAATGATTGCAATTAAGGCCCATTAGCTTAAAATAAGATAAAGGTTAAAAAGGGGCTTGGGCCTTCCCTTTATTCTGTTGGTTAATGTTTGATATTTGACTTTTAAGTAAGTCCCTTGTCCAGATGCATATAAGAAACACAGAATTTTGTCTAGATACAGAGATTCAATCCAGGCTCCATCCGTGAGATTTTGATTCTACAAATTTTGGAAATAATGAATGAATATATATAAACAGATGGAGAATGAATGAATGAATCAGAGGTATGCATGTGTGTGTGTATGTATTATATATTATTCTCAAGTATAGTCAGTTTGGGGCCAATTATTAACAGAAAACAAAATTTTAAATATAGTATTTACAGTGATTTTGGCCATCATAAAAAATTTGAAAATATTTATATTTGTCCCTTCAGAGTTGATGATCATACTGACAAAATAATAACTATCATTTATTGAAAGCTATGTATTAAGCATTTTACATCCATGATTCCACCTAATCCTCATACAACTTTATAATGTACTAACTTCTTCTTTTATTTAGTTTTGTATAGTTTGTGACTTTTTGTATTTTGCATGAACCATATAATGAAGCTTGCATAACATAGAGAAAACAATAATTTTAAACATGCAGTAAAATGCAAAGGATCTTCTTATACAAGTCTTTTTTGTGGATATACGCATTTATTTCTCGTAGGTATACTTCTAGGAATGAAATTGTTGGTCCATAGTGAGAGGTGAAGCCGGCTGGGCTTCTGGGGCGGATGGGGACTTGGAGAACTTTTCTGTCTAGCTGAAGGATTGTAAAAGGACCAATCAGTGCTCTGTGTCTAGCTAAAGGTTTGTAAACACACCAATCAGCACTCTGTAAAAATGCACCAATCAGCGCTCTGTGTCTAGCTAATTGGGTGGGCACCTGGAGAACTTTTCTGTCTAGCTAAAGGATTGTAAATGCACCAATCAGCACTCTGTGTCTAGTCAAATGTTTGTAAACGTACCAAATCAGCACTCTGTAAAAACGGACCAACCAGCACTCTGTAAAATGGACCAATCAGTGCTCTGTAAAATGGACCAATCAGCAGATACAGGTGGGGCCAAATAAGGGAATAAAAGCTGGCCACCTGGGTCAGCCATGGCAACCCGCTGGGGTCCCCTTCCATGCTGTGGAAGCTTTATTCTTTCACTCTTCCGCAGTAAATCTTGCTTCTGCTTACTCTTTGGGTCCGCACTACCTTTATGAGCTGTAATACTCACTGTGAAGGTCTGCAGCTTCACCCTTGAAGCCAGCTAGACCACGAACCCACGGGGAGGAACGAACAACTCCGGATGTGCCGGCTTTAAGAGCTGTAACACTGCGAAGGTCTGCAGCTTCACTCCTGAAGTCAGCAAGACCATGAACCCACCAGAAGGAAGAAACTCCGGACATATCTGAACATCTGAAGGAAAAAACTCTGGACACACCATCTCTAAGAACTGTAACACCGCAAGGGTCTGCGGATTCATTCTTGAAGTCAGCGAGACCAAGAACCCACCAGAAGGAACCAATTCTGGACACAATAGGATTAATATATGCTTAACTTAAAAATAATAAACTTCCAATTTTTTAAGTGGATTTTTTTTAAACAAATGAAGAATACAGGAATCACAGAAGTAAGTAGCTTGTTTGATGAGTTATGAAAAGGAAGTCTGAATTCACACCCATATCTGTCTGACACCCAAATCCATGTAGTTATACATTTTGTTATTCAAGACTACGTTCCAGGTATGTGGCAAATTTTTCATTAAAATTTTCATTAAAGACTAAGTCTGTTGAATCAAAGACTTCACTGCTATGGTGGGGGAATAAAAGACAGCAGCATATTCTTTCACTGACTGAGGTTTTATTAAAAAAAATTAACCATGGTCTTTGAGTATCTCTACTTGTTAATCATTACGACATTTTATCCTCAAAACAGCCAAATTTAACATCTCTTGGTTCCTATGGACCCACTTTTTACTCCATCGTTTGTTACAACAACCAGTTTCCTTACGAGGGGCTCTCTGCCCCAGTTGTGGGATAGTCTTGCAGCAAACCATTAAGCCATTCTGGTGCATATGCAAATGTACAAACCTGGCAGTCAACGAGCGGTAGCGACCAGCTTGATAATAAAGCCTTGGACTGGCTTTCCGTTCTGTTCCCCAATTCAGCTCAGGTTCCTTAGGATTTCATCACAAAATAAACTATCTGCTTGAAATCTCCTTTCAGAATCTGCTTTTGGGAGGAAGCTAGCTTAGGTGCGACCCTTTGAAGACGATATTACTGTTATCCTATATTTCTAAGGAAACTGAGGGTTAGAAGTTGAGTCAATTACCTCAAGGTAAATAAAAGAACATGGCAGGACCA
This sequence comes from Homo sapiens, assembly GCF_000001405.40. NCBI lineage: Eukaryota > Metazoa > Chordata > Mammalia > Primates > Hominidae > Homo > Homo sapiens. Next base: position 165,534,119 of record NC_000005.10, on the reverse strand, counting down.
AATTTCGAGCAAAATCTGTTGACTTCAAAGGGCATATCTTAATCTAAAGCTATTCTACCTTCCGACATGCTTGAGGTCAGTTTAGGGTCTGGGTATGCAAACAAGAATTAATCATTGACCTGCCACCAATTTTTACAGTGTTATAAGGAGTAAATACATAAATCAATGGTTACAGCGTAATTGCAAGTTACAGAGAATCAAAAATTGTAAATCTGAATCAGTCTGTCTTTACTTTTTTTTTTGAATTATTCAAATCCCATTGTCTATGGAAGACAATAAGGATCAGATGGAATGCAATGGGTGGTTCCTGGATACAAATCCTGTTTTAATATAATAAGGAAGAACTAACAAAAACAAAAGTTGATTGATTGATTTACTAAGTATGTATTTGCCACTACAAATAAGTGCTAGGTACTATTATAAAATATCGACCAATAAAAATTATTATAATGAAAACACAACACAGTCGTCTCTTAGTATCTATGGGAAATTTGTTCCAGGACCCCCCCCCCCTCTTGGATACCAAAATCTATGGATGCTCCAATCCCTATGTAAAATGGTATAGTGTTTGCATATAACTTATGCACATCCCCTATGTAACTTAAATCATCTGTAGGTTACTTACAATACTGACTACAATGTAAATGCCATATAAATAGTTGTTCTACTGTATTGTTTAGGGAATAATTACAAGGAAAAATAAAGTCTGCATATGTTTAGTAAAGACACAAGCATCTTTTGTATTTTCTGAATATTTTTGATCCAAGGTTGGTTGAATCCATGGATGCAGAATCCATAGATAGAAAGGGCTGACTGTGCCTCATTCTTGAAACCTACACCTTTTTTCAACACACATCTTTCAGCACTTTGCTTTACGCCCTAATTTCTCAATTCTGCTTTAAACTGTTGGCTTTTGCTTTCCATATGATTTCGGTTTCTGTATTCGTTTTCCCCCAGGACTCTGCCTCTGAATCTCTGGTTGAATAAGTAAATTCCACTCGATCTTGGCCCTTGTATTATCTACATGTAGTTCCTGGGATATTGTGCTTTAGTGCAAATCTAGAGTGCCTATAGATAATATGAAAGGAATTATAAGAAAATCAACAAGCTATTTTATATGCCTATTGCAAAAAGGCTTACTACCTTTGCTTAGTCATCTCTGGATTTCAGAAAATTGATTCAAACCTATAAATTACAGACAGGAGCAAAAGCACCTCTGTAACCTTATAGATGATACTGGAAATTGCCCTATTTAACGAGCTTCGATCAGTCATATAAATTCTCTTAATATTTAGTTACTCTAGAGAGATGTCTCTATTCAGAATCCTTATAAATTTTCCCCTTTGCTTATACATCCATCCTTGAAGGTCAGTATATTTAATTTCCAGGGCTTCTGTAACAAGGTGCCATAGACTGAGTAACCTGAACAACAGAAATTTATTTTCTCACAGTTCTGGAGTGGAGAAGTGTAAGATCAAGGTGCTGGTAGTATTGGTTTCTCCTAAGGCCTGAATTGTTGATTTGTAGATGGATGTCTTCTCTCTGGCTCTTCACATGGTTGTCCCTCCATACATAACTGCATCCCAGTGTCCTCTTCTTCTAAGAATACCAGTCATATTAGATTAGAGCTCACCCCAATGACCTTATTTTATATTAATTACCTCTTTAAAGTCCCTATCTTTAAATAAAGTTACATTTTGAAGTACTGCGAACTAAGACTTCAATATATGAATTGGTATGGGGGGAGGCACAATTCAGCCCATAATAGTCACATCCTTGACAAAATCTTCTCCAAAGCCCGCAGTACTGCCTTGTGCCCCCAGACACTGATTCTTGCCTCCAAAAATTGCTATTTTGTAACACACTCTCAATGGATATTATTCCCTGTTTTTTAAATGCAATCTGCCTTATATTTGGATTAAAAAAAATATTCTAGAGGGGAATGACCACTTTTTCCTCTTTGTTGTTTTCCCTCTGGGGATTTGCAAAAAGAAGGTGTCCAGAAATTGGAGGATTTCACTGGTCATTTGTAGCATAAAATATATCGCAAGATGCTTTACCTCTAATGGAACATATACAGATGCACCCAGGCACACTTACACACAAACACACACACACAACACACACACACAGATAATACCCTTGAACAGCCTGTATAATGATTAAATAATCTATCTTTCCCTTAATTGGCACATATTTAAGAAAAGCTTTTGGCTCTTTTTTTTTTAAACCTGTTTTCTCACTTTTGAATAGGAATATTTCATAGGATTGTGGTGACTATGTCATATAAGATAATATGATAAGATAATATAGTATTGTGCCTAACACATAATTGGCACTCATATCTCAATAAATGATCATTATACCTCACCACACCCTCTTCCTCATCCTCTCTCTCTCTCACAAATACACACACACACACTGTAGGGCACACAAACAATTTTAAATGTCTACATTTAATAAGGGGTTAGAATCTGCTCGAAATGAACATGTACTTTTTGTGTGTGTTGATTTAACATTTTTGTGTTGTTTTCCTCCAGGGAAGCCAGAATATGTTCCATAAGAAAAACAGATAATATCTTAAAATTCCATCACTTTTTTGGTCTTTTCTATGAATGGTACCAATATCCATATTGACAGAATCATTTTTAATATTAATTTATCTTTTTCCTAAATAATTTTAATAAATAACAATATCTTCCATTTCCTGAGCATATCTACGTTCTTAGCTGTGTTCCAGGTACTTCATATACATAATTTGATTTGATATGACAGTAATAATATAATGCAGGCATGATTGTTTAAATTTCACAGAGTAAAGAGTAAAAAATATATGCTAAGAGTGATTCATAAAAGGTTACACTGCTAGACATTGGCAGTATTGGAATTTTAGCCCAGGATTCTCTGTGTCCAAACTCTGTGCTCTTTATACTGTTTGTTCTATTCTTTGTCTAAAACTAAACAAAAATCACCACAAAAATGACAAAAGATTGTACTAGACTGAATAGCATTCCCCGCCTCCCAAATTCATGTCTTCCAGTAACATGTAAATGTAATCTGTGGAAACAGAGTCTTTGCAGCTATAATCAAACAATTTTACATTTTTCCCCAAAAAAACAGGAGAAAAAAAAAACTTTCATAGGAAACTCTGTCTCTTAATCAGTTTGGAGTTCTCAAAATGGTATTAACCTTTTAACCAAGAACTTCTTTTTAAAACATTTGAAAGCATCCTGGAAGGACATAATACACTTTTAAAAATAGGTATAAATTTTAGTCTCTGCGTTTGCTAACAATGTATTCATTTGTGTAGGAAAGGAGCACGAAACAGGGTCCCCTTAAAAGCTCTTAAAAGCTGCCATAGCTGATGGCTTAAAACATTAGAACTTTCCCTCCACAAATGCATTTTGTAAACTTCTGAAAAGAGCACAGAGAAATAGTGAGCAGATGTCCTACCTCTTTGAGGAGACCAGTAAGTACCTGGGTGATGGGGCAACCAGCACATAGTCTGCTGTCATACTTCTTGGGTCACCTGGTTAGAAACTTTATCAGCTGATAAATGTTTTAGGCACTTATACATTATCTCATTTAATTCTCGCAAAAACTTCGTTAAAAGGTTATCAGCATTTTACAGAAGATTAACTGAAGTTCGGGAAAGATAAGTAACTTGCCCAAGGTTGCATACCTCTAAGTTCGTATTCAAATTAATTCTGTCCCACACTTTCGAGTATTATATCAATAGTCCACAATACTATCTCTCAATTTTAGTGGGGAAATTATTATAAAAATGAGTTGAACAACTTAGTTTGAATCCCCACAGCATCAAACCCTGAGAAAGGATTCTAATTCAAGTGGTTTACATAGAAGGTGAAGAAGCCACAGTTAGTTGAATTGGAAAGTAAAATAAGGATCGGAAGTCAAGGATAAATGTGTTATCAAGTCAGCTATCACTGAGAGTGAAGAAGGCTCTGTTCTGCTGCGGAGAATCTGGGAGCCCACGTAACACCCATATATCAGCCTTCTCCTATCAAAGAGGTGAGGATCTGGGGTCACTAACCTCAATTCCCCACATTATTGGTTGAGGGCTACTCCTGGAATGGTGATAATTCTCAGTCATTTTTGGCTTGCTACACAAGCTGTGAAGCACCCAGAGAAAATCGTTTATCAAAGACATTCGGATGCTGACTGTAAGCAGGCTGGCCAGTTTGCTCTTAAATGCTATGAGTTGGTGATATGGAGGGGCACCACCAATGCCAGCTACAGATATTTTTGCTCACCATTGCAACTCAGTGCTGATGACTTTAAAAGGACGGAGGTAACCACAATTATTTTTGCACAAACCTAATAGCAGGAGTAGCATGGAACTGAATAGGGAGACCAGGAAGGGAAATAAAGGAAGCCTGAAATCGTAGTACTATCTTAGGACTATTTATAATTCCATTAGAAATATGGCTTGTATTAGTTTGTTCTCATGCTCTTAATAAAGACATACCCAAGACTGGGTAATTTATAAAGGAAAGAGGTTTAATTGACTCACAGTTCTGCAGGGCTGGGGAGGCCTTAGAAAACTTAACAATCATGGCGGAAGAAGTAGAAAACACGTCCTTCTTCATACGGCAGCAGCAAGGAGAAGTCTCGAGCAAAAGAGGGAAACGCCCCTAATAAGACCATTGGATCCCATGAGAACTCATGCAGTATCATGAGAACAGCATGAGGGCAACCACCCCTTTGAGTAAATTACCTGCCACCGGATCCCTCCAACAACACATAGGGACTATGGGAACTACAATTCAAGATGAGATTTGGGTGGGGACACAGCCAAATCTTATTCTGCCCTTGTCCCCTCCCAAATCTCATGTCCTCACACTTTAAAACAGACTCATGCTCTTCCAACAGTCCCCCAAAGTCTTAACTCATTCCAACATTAACTCAAAGTCCAAGTCCAAAGTCTCATCTGAGACAAGGCAAGTCCCTTCCACCTATGAGCCTGTGATATCAAAAGCAAGTTAGTTACTTCCTAGATACAACGGGGATACAGGCATTGGGTAAATACACCTGTTGGAAATGGAAGAAATTGGCCATAATGAAGAGGCTACAGGCCCCATGGAAGTCTGAAATTCAGTGATGTAGTTAAAGCTTCCTTTGACTCCGTATCTCACATCCGGGTCATGTTGATACGAGAGGTGCGCTCCCAGAACCTTGGGAATTTTTGCTTCTGTGGCTTTGCAGGGTACAATCCCCTCCTGGCTGCTTTCATGGCTGGCGTTGAGTGTCTGTGGCTTTTCTAGGTGCACAGTACAAGCTCTTAGTGGATCTACCATTCTGGTGTCTGGAAGACCATGGCCTTCTTCTCACTGATCCACTAGGCAGTGCCCCAGTGAGGACTCTTTGTGGGGCCTCCAACCCCCATTTCCCTTCTCCACTGCCCTAGCAGAGGTTCTCCATGAAGGCTCCACTCCTGCAGCAAACCTTTGCCTGGACATCCAGGCATTTCTATACATCCTCTGAAATCTATGCAGAGGTTCCCAAACTGAAATTCTTGACTTCTGTGCACCCACAGGCCCAATACCACATGTAAGCTGCCAAGGCTTGGAGCTTGCACCCTCCGAAGCAACAGCTTGAGCTGTATATTGGCCTCTTTTAGCCACGGCTGGAGCTGAAGCAGCTGGGAGGCAAGGCACCATGTCCTCAGGCTGCATAGAGCAGTGAGCCCTGGACCCATTCCAGGAAACTATTTTTCCCTCCTAGGCCTGTGATGGGAGGGTATGCTGTGAAGTTCTCTGACATACCTAGAGACATTTTCCCCATTGCCTTAGTGATTAACATTTGGCTCCTTGTTTCTTAGACAAATTTCTGCAGCTAGCTTGAATTTCTCCCCAGAAAATGAGATTTTGTTTTCTATCACATTGTCAGGCTGTCAATTTTCCAAACTTTTATGCTCTGCTTCTTCTTGAATGATTTCCTGCTTAGAAATTTCTTCTGCCAGATATGCTAAATTATCTCTGTAAAGTTCAAAGTTCCACAGATCTCTAGGGCAAGGGCAAAATGCCATCAGTTTCTTTGCATAGCAAAAGTGACCTTTACTCTAGTTCCTAACAAGTTCCTCGTCTCTATCTAAGACCACCTCAACCTGGACTTTACTGTCTACATCACTATTGGCATTTTGGTTAAAGCATTTCAACAAGTCTCTAGGAAGTTCCAAACGTTCCCACATCTTCCTGTCTTCGGAGCCCTCCAAGTGTCTAGGAAGTTCCAAACTTTCCCACATTTTCCTGTATTCCTCGGACCCCTCCAAACTGTTCCAAACTCTGCCTATTACCCAGGTCCAAAGTTGCCTCCACATTTTCAGGTATCTTTACAGCAGCACCCCACTCCTGGAACCAATTTACTGTATTAGTCTGTTTTCATGCTGCTGAAAAAGACATACCTGTAACTGGGTAATTTATAAAGGAAAGAGGTTTAATTGACTCAAAGTTCTACGCCTTTCAAGTGGAAAAAACAGAAGCAAAAAACTGATTGCATCAAACTGTGCCAAAACAGACAAAAGAAAAAATAAAGAAAAAAATCTATTTGAATTACAATCATGGTAGAAGAAGTAGAAATCACGTCCTTCTTCACATGACAGCAGCCAGGAGAAGTGCCGAGCAAAAGCGGGAAAAGCCTCTTATAAGACCATCAGATCTCATGAGAACTCACACACTATCACAAGAACAGCATGAGGGTAACCGATTCCTTGATTAAATTACCTTCCACTGGGTCCCTCCAACAACACGTGAGGACTATGAAGACTACAATTCAAGATGAGATTTGGATGGGGACAAAGCCAAACCATATTATGTCTTATTTGTCTTTGTAAATAACAATGCTTTCATTATATTCTATGAATAAACCTGGCCATCTCTGGTGGAAAATATGAACTTGGCCATTTCTCTTTATTATTTTGTTTTTGTGTGTGCGTTGATCTGACTTATGAGTTTCTTTCTTTTTTTTTTGAGATGGAGTCTCGCTCTATCACCCAGGCTGGAGTGCTTTGGCACAATCTCAGCTCACTGCAACCTCCACCTCCTGGGTTCCAGCGATTCTTCTGCCTCAGTCTCCCGAGTAGCTGGGATTATATGCACACGCCACCACGCCCAGACAATTTTTGTATTTTTAGTAGAGACGGAGTTTCACCATATTGGCCAGGCTGGTCTCGAACTCCTGACCTCATGACCCACCCATCTCAGCCTCCCAAAGTGTTGGGATTACAGGTGTGAGCCACCATGCCCAGCCTATGAGTTTCTTAAAGTACCCGGTTTCTAATTCCTTCCATTTTGTATTTTCTAATTCCCTCCATTATTTCCATTTGATTATTCAATCACACAGTGGTTTAACCAGCATTAAAAGTCAAGCCAAAAACAATTAGTCTTCAATCATACAGTGGCAAGTAATTTCTGGTAGGGTAATTATTACAAGCAGATTCCAGAGTATCTCCCGTTTTTGATAATTTTTGGTGACACTTTTCTGTGACAGTCAAAGTGTTTTCCAACACATAAACATTTTCACCAGGAAAAAATAATGCACTCGTCATCACAAAGTTTCTTTTTTATAAGACCCAGGACATCAAAGGTGTTCATCACCAAAGGAGAAAATGTTTTCCTGTGTCTTTCCAGCACAGTAATCTGCCAAACCAAGAATGGGATGACCATGTAAGAAAACGTCATCTCTGCTAATAAGTCCTATGCCTTTCAAGTGGAAAAAGCAGAAGGTAAAAACTGATTGCATCAAGTTGTACCAAGACAGACAAAAGAAAAAAAAAAAGAAAAAAATCTATTTGAATTTCCTTTTGAAGTAGAAGTAACAAGGGATTCCTGTCTTTCAACAATTTCAGTTTTTCATGAATGTGCCAGCTCAGCACACACCTAAGGACAGCAACCTAAGGTTGCAGAGCCTCTATTTTTCCATTTAAACTGTTATCGTAATACCTTGGAAGCTGGAGTGTGGGAGTAGAGAAAGGTAACAGAGAATGTTACTGTGACCTTCTATAAGAAAAGAAAAAGACCAGTTAGAGCTATTATAAATTCCCAGCTAATTAAAGGTTAAACACAAGTTGCCAATTAGTATGGAAGATAATTGTTCTTCTTTGACAACCTGATTATGTGTACCATTTGGGAAGGAAGAACGAGTGTTTTCATGTTACTGGTGAATACGATCACTAGTTTATGCTACTGAAGTTATAACTTTCAAGAAACTTATCCTTGGAGGCCAAGGTTGTGTGAAATTAAACACCCCTCTTTTGTTAGAGAAAAACAAATGCATACAATTTGCAACCCTGTATGTTTGTAATGATTCTTATTACTGCTCAAGACACTTTACAATCTATAGGGATAAGCTAAGTATTAGAGAGAACAAAGAAAATTCTATATTAGAGAGCAAGAGGCTTTGTCCAATCCATATTCTTTGCTAAAATTATGCAGCATATCATAAGCCATGGCGTGGGCATTAAGCACGGGTGGGCAAGTAGACAATGTGAGATATATAATGAGAGAGATATATAGAGGATTTGTGTCAGCAGTGGGTGTATGCATATTAGCATTTAGAAGGAGAAGAAGTGACAAATTATGCAAGAATTGCATAGCATGGAGAGCACGCCCAGTGATATCATCACCACATGCCACAGAAGGAAAGAATCTGACGATAAGAACTCAGGAATGTATAGTTTCATCACATAGCAAGCCTCAAGCACCATGCAAGTGCTTACCAGAGATGGTTTTGTTAATGTTGCTATGAAATGTTACTCCAAAAACTTAGGCACTATAGCAATTTAGGCTGAAAGGTTAATTTTACTCCTTTTTGATCTTTGTAGGAGCACGTGAAAAGGTATTTTCCAATTATTATTACTATTTTTTTTACATTTCCAAAATTTTTGTAAACCTAGATAAGTATTTGTCTAGGTATATCATGATCTAATCATTATTCCCCTTCATTAGAAGTTTAGTTTAGCTTAGTAACCATTTAATGAGTAATTTCTATGTTCCAAACATTGCTTTAAATGTTGCAGTAGAGCTAATTCGCTGGTCCTGTTGTCAGCTGTGGACTGGATATGCAGCTTATCCCTTTCAGCCTCCCTTTCTACTGTGTTCTACCATCCACACGAACTGGAGTGAAAGTACCTAGCACTCGGTTGCTATGAAGAATTTAAGAAGTAAAATACATAAATATATTTGACAAAAAAAATGAGAAGGACCATTAAATACTTGTTTGTGTTCTGCCCACATCCTAATTTTCCATGTGCTCTAGCGAAATAGAGAGAAACAATACTGTGGTTCAAGGACCCGAAAATTAGAACATGACCATCAATTGATAACTTTTTAGACATATTATCAGAATACACTCAGAATACTGGCACTGTGTTTTTCTCTTTATGCTTGAGAGGGGAGGATAATCTATACCTTTCAACCATTTACATCATAAATGTTTAACAATATCTGTTACAAAAATATTACTTAAATAGATTTGAGGTAGAGACAGATTTTCTTAACCTTTCAGAGTTTAAGGAATGCTTAAACACTATTGCTAATCATAATACCTAACAATTCCTGAATATTCAGGATGTGCCAGGAACTGGGCCAACAGACTTACAAAGATTAACTCATTGACTTCATAATAGTTCCATTAAGTTAAGTGACTTGCCCAATAGCCATATAAACAGCACTTTAGTAAAACCTCGGCCGGGCGCGGTGGCTCACGCCGGCAATCCCAGCACTTTGGGAGGCCGAGGCGGGCGGATCGTGAGGTCAGGAGATCTAGACCATCCTGGCTAACACAGTGAAACCCCTGTCTCTACTGAAAATACAAAAAAAATTAGCCAGCATGCTGGTGGGCGCATGTAGTCCCAGCTACTCGGGAGGCTGAGGCAGGAGAATGGAGTGAACCCGGGAGGCGGAGCTTGCAGTGAGCCAAGATCGTGCCACTGCACTCCAGCCTGGGCAGCAGAGCGAGACCCCGTCTCAAAAAAAAAAAAAAAAAGAAAAAACAAAAACAAAAAAAGAAAAACTTCTGAAGAAATGGCCCCAAAGTCTTCGGTTACTGCGCGTGTTCTTAGTAACTACGCTATATTATGGAAAAATCCCCCAGAAAACATTCAAGGGAAATGAAACTGAGGACAATTAGCACCAAAAAGACATCCCAAGTATTTTTCTACAAAGTAATTCTTCATATTGTCAGCTTGTTAAATGACCTGAAGTTCCAGGGTATACACCAAACCACAGACTTTCTTCTGAAGCCAAAACTCAAAGGGCAGTTATTATCATGCATATCAACGTTACAATTTTTATGATCTGATTCTCATATTAAATAGATGGTGCTACCTAAATACAGTCCTGATTTATAATTACCAGTCTAGAGAATATTAATTACAATATAAGTTTTTGAATAATCACATTTTTCTATTTTCTGAAAATAGTAGTCCAATCATGAAAGATTAATCCTTTCATTCATGTACATTAATTTTAGTTATTTAAACATTATACTGAGTCTTCTTTTTCTCATAATAGAAAAGTAAAACTTCATAATACTGTTTCTAAGATTTTTATCAGACTTGGTGCCATAGCTTGCACCTGTAATCTTAGCACTTTGGGAGACTGAGGCAGAAGGCTTGCTTGAGCCAGTTTAGGACCAGCCAGGGCAATATGGTGAGACCCCATATCTACAAAAAAAAGTGGGCCTGGTGGCTCACACCTGTACTCCCAATTACTGGGAAGGTCCAGGTGGTGGGAGGAACACTAGAGCGCAGGAGTTTGAGGCTGCAATGAGCTATGATCACACCATTGCACTCCAGCCTGGGCAACAGAGCGAGACTCTGTCAAAAAAATAAAAAATAAAAAGATTTTTATCATGAAATACTGAAATACTTAGTTGAAATAATATCTAAATGACTATTTCAATTACATTTCAGGAAATAAATAATAAATATGAGACTATAAAATGTTAGAAATACCTTTTATTTAAAATTTATTTATTTGATTTTAATTTCCCAAGGGCTTGATTTTATTTTATTATTTTTCATCAACAATAAAAAACATTATCAGAAATGTATATTTTTAAGATGACAATATTAAAATCATAAGTCAATGAAAATTAATTTTGATATTTGGCTCACAGTTCTTCATGTGCATTTATATGGGCAAATTGAGTTTATTATCAAACAGTTGCCTGATAACTTTAAGCCATAGTGACTTCATTCAGTGAAACAGGTAAAAAAAAATTCACCTATTATTCTGAAAAGAAGGTGAATCCACATAATAATTTGATGTTTTAGAGTAATGGACCTAGAAGTAAATAATATAGGATCAATTCCAAATTTTGAAATATATTAGCTATATGATTTTGGAAAATGTCCTTAAACTAGTTTTCATAGAAATAAGGGCAATAACTGTTCCTGCCTCCTATGATTTTTCTGAGGAATCAGTGAGCTTAAATTCATGAAAATACTGCACGGTGCCTAGCAGAGCAAGCACTTCGTACACTTTATTTTTTATGTGTTTTAACTTTGTAGCAAGAAACCAAAACCAAAACAACAACAAAAACACTCTATACATGACCAAATAAGTAAGCTGCAGCAGTACACAAACGATTGGGTGTCCTTATAAGCCACGATGCATTTGGTTCCAAACACAGTAATTGGAGTGTGAGAAATGAAACATTTGGCACTTACTTTGCCTTAACCTGAATAGTTACAACCAATTCCAACGCAGCTTTCTAAAATCTACTCTGGAGCAAACTGAAAGGAATTTCTTAGCTTTCTTTTTCTTTTTCTTTTTTTTTTCCTTTTCTTTTCTTTTTTCCCTGACACAGTTTTCTATTTTATAGCATCAAAGGTCTAAACATAAAATAAGAGAAAGTTTTCCAAGAGTAGGTGGATATTTTGGAACTCTTTTTCACTTGGACTTCAGCTCAGAAGTATATTTAGAAGAAATATAAATCCTTTCTAACCTCATTCAGTCAGTTGCTTACATTTTAGGTTGCAAGATTTCAAACTGCACTCCATATTTATTGAGCTCAGTGAGGCAAATGTCTATTAAAACCTCAGCAAGCAACTTCGAAACTATTAAAATCCCTCCAAAGGGACGTCACTGTTAAAGTCAGTCAATAAATTAACCACTGGGTTAGGCAGGATGGAGACTCATCTGTCTTTCTGAACACTGTTAATGAAGCCTACATTTTTGTATGTTAGTTGCTGCGAAACTGCCTGTGACACGTTTCTTAGCAGCTTTGCCTCGTGTCCAGGCATTAACTGTCTGGTAGTTCATTAGAACTTTGATGATGTGTAATTATCTCACAAAGGTTGTCACCAAATGGAAATTTAGAGAACAATGATAACAGTCAGAAATTTTCATTACAGATTCCCATTATCCAGGCATGCTGCATGGCTGCTCATCTTCAGATTGAAGAGGCTTCAATGATAAATCTACGGACTGACTACTTGTAGCATTAATTGTTCATACATTCCAAGTGAGGATATTTTAAAATAACACATATACACACAAGCACACTCTTAAAAATCGTCTTAGGTTTTTCATAATGTAAAATTCTAAAGCCATTTTCATCAATGACCTCTGATTTTCTTGCGTCTCTGACGGCAATTTTGAATTGTTGTAATATCATGTGCCACATCATAAGGCAAGAGAAGCTTTGAAACAAAGACCTGTTTTCAGTGAAATAAATTGAGTTATTGTGCTTAATATTGATTTTTTTTCCTTATTGGTTTCAAATACAGAAATCAGCAAATTACATAGAAAAGCAGTTGGTCTATGGACCACCCAGTTAACGCTGATGCTGTTTAAAGTTGAAAAAAAGTTTTAATTTTTTCTTTAATTAGACAGTATGATGTTTTAAGGATTATGACAAGAACATCATGATGCCATCAAATGATATTTCAAAAATGAACTGTGACCTGGGGTATAACCTACTGATTCAATGACAATGATATGCCTATGTATCATATGGCAGCATTCCTCATTACGGAGAGTTTTTAAATAAAGTCTGCTTTCAGTGTTAGTAGTATAATACTCTTAGAACACAATAATTACGGCCGGGCGCAGTGGCTCGCACCTGTAATCCCAGCACTTTGGGAGGCCGAGGCAGGCGGATCACCTGAGGTCAGGAGTTCGAGACCAGACTGACCAACATGGAGAAACACCGACTTTACTAAAAATACAAAATTAGCTGGGCTGCTGGCACATGCCTGTAATCCCAGCTACTCAGGAGGCTGAGGCAGGAGAATAGCTTGAATCCAGGAGGCAGAGTTTGCGGTGGGCCGAGATCGCGCCGTTGCACTCCAGCCTGGGCCACAAGAGCGAAACTCTGTCCCAAAAAAACAAAACAAACAAACAAACAAAAAACGATAATTACATAGGACAGAAAAATTGTATGAAAGAGAGCAGCAATTTTTTAAAAACCCTACAATTTTTCCAAAACATTGGTGCTTTACCAATATTTCAGCTCATAGTGCTTTAACCACACAGTTTAAAAATTAACATTTTGCAAAACTGCTCATATGCTTTTCTGTAGGATAAGGCATAATGATTGGTTGATAGGAATAGGGAGGATTTTTAATTTTTCTGTGATCCTATTCCATGGAGATTGCAATCATTTTTAGACTGGAGACTTTTGTGTAAGATCCATATTCTGACATATTCTTATGAGGAAAAGAAGTCATCAGTCACCATGAAGATGCAAAGGCCAAGGAATCATGTAACTCCAAGTCTCATATAAGAAGAAGAAATAATAGTCTTTTAAAATTACTATGTCCCCAGACTCTAGCACAGTACCTGGGACACTGTAAGTGTTTAATTAATCTTTCAGAATAAACAAACAAGTGAATAACAAATAGAATATATGAAGGTGGTGTCAGGGTAGAATTAGACTTAGATTCATTCCTTAAATTGCTTCATCAATTAATCAATAATTAATTGGGAATATATAGATAAATCAATTGAAAAAAGAATACTATTCAAATAATTTTATAAGATTAACATTATCCTGATACCAAAACCAAAAAAAAGAGAAAAAAAACCTATAAACCTTTATCTCACATAAACAAGGTGCAAACTTTCTAAGCAAAATGTTAGCAAATTTAAGAATGTACAAAAAGGTAACATTTCAGGACCAAATGTAGTCTATCTCAGAAATGAAAGGATTGTTTAACATCTGAATATCAGCAATGAAATTTACCATATTAAAAATAATGAGAAAAACAGCACAGTTGCCTCAATAGATATGCGTAAAGCATGTTACAAAATTCAACATCCATCCTTTGTAAAAAACTCTTAGCAAACTGTAAATATAAGAGAACATCTTCAACTTGGTACGAGTTATTTAAGAAAAACCTACAGCTCCCTATTATATTTAATGATGAATTGTTAAATGTTTTATCTTTAACATCACGACAAGACAAGGATATGTGGTCTCACCACTTTTATTCAACATTGTACTGCCGGCCAGGCACGGTGGCTCACGCCTGTAATCCCAGCACTTTGGGAGGCCGAGGTGGGCTGATCACGAGGTCAGGAGATCCAGACCATCCTGGCTAACACGGTGAAACCCTGTCTCTACTAAAAATACAAACAAAATTAGCCAGGCGTGGTGGCGGGCACCTGTAGTCCCAGCTACTCGGGAAACTGAGGCAGAATGGCGTAAAACTGGGAAGTGGAGCTTGCAGTGAGCGGAGATCGCACCACTGCACTCCAGCCTGGGCGACAGACCGAGACACTGTCTCAAAAGAAAAAAAAATTGTACTGCCCGTTCTAGTCACTGCAATAAAGCAATAAAAATAAATAAAAGGTAATCATGTTGGAACAAAACAACGAAAATTATTGTTATTCTCCAGTAGCATGGTTGTACATGAAGAAATTCCCATGGAGTCTACCAAAAAACTGTAAGCTTGAATAAATTCATCAAGGTTGCAAAATTTAAGAAAATATGTAAAAAACAGTTTCTTCATACTACCAATGAGCAATCAAAAACTGAAATTTAAAAAAAGTCATAATCATGAAATACCTCGGCACAAATCTGACATAAGATATGCAAGATTTATAAACTGAAAACTACGAAACACATTGTAGAGACAAATTAATATGGATCTAAGTTGAGGGATATACTATGTTCATGGGTTAGAATACTTAATATTAAGCCATTAATTCCCTCAAAATGGTCCTTCTGATCTAATAAATCATCATAAATATCTCAGCAGCATTTTTGTTTTAGAAATTAAAATCTGATTTTATAATCCATGTATAATAGCATAAGACTCTGAATACTCAAAACAACTCTGAAAAACATCAAAAAAATTAAAGGACTGTTACTACCTAATTTCGAGAGTTATTTTAAAGCTATAGCAACCAAGGCCTTGTGGTATTGGTGTCAAGAAATACATACTGATCAATGAAACAGAATAGAGTCCAGAGATAAACCACATATCCATCTATCTGTCTATCTACCTATATCGATATCTAATATATCTTCATTCCCATCAAAGATGAAAGAGAGAAAAAGTATGGTCTATTCAAAAAATCATGCTAGGGCAACTGGATATCTATTTGCAAAACTTTGAACTTTAATTTGTATTTTGCAGCAAATACAAAAATTAGCTTAAGATGAAACATAGTAAAATTGATGATATGATATAAAACCTGAAACTATAAAACTTATAGAATATAATGTTATATGTTTATGATATTATATGTAACATATAATATAAATAGAGAAAACTTAGGAAAAAAACTTTGTGACTTTTTTAGGTGAATGTAACCCAAATAAGACACCAAGCACAATTCAAAAAAAAAAAAAAAAGAAATTGATTAATTCAGTTTTATCAAAATTACCAAAACACCCACAAAGACCCATCAGCAACAACTTTTGCAACTTTTGTTCTCAGAGAGAAACAGGATTAGGAGGAAATATTTGCATCGTGTATCTGATAAAGGAATTACATTCAGATTATATAAGGAACTCTCAAAACTCAATAATATGAAAACAACCAACCAATAAAATATGGATAACAAACAGTTGAATGGATACTTAACCAAGTAATATTAAAAAAAAATTTAAAAACACATGTAGTTTACTGAAATTGAGTTATACCTCACTAAAGCTATTAAAAAAATTCATAGAGAGTATATCTTAAGTTCAAAATAGAACTAAATTAGAAACAAAAAATAAACATATTTAGAAATCAATTTCTAAACCAATTTCTAAATAATATGAAAGTTATAGAGTAATTTTCAAGGGACCTGAGCAACATTTTTAATTGAATAATAATGGAAATATAGAATATCAAAAAGTTGGAGAATTACTTAAAATAGTGCTGGGAAAAAATACCTTTAAATGCTTTTATTAGAAATGAGAGGTCTAGAAAAAATTACCAGAGGCTCTACCTTAAGAAGCTAGAAAGAGAACAGCAAAATAAATGTACAGTATGGAGAAAGCTAAAAGTAGAAATCAATGAGACATAAAACAGACAAACTATAAACATTAAGAAAGCCAAAATGTGTTTATTTAAAAAGATAACACCATTTATAAACCTCCAAAATGATAGAGAAAAAGATAGAACACGGATTATGATTATCAGGGCTGAAAAAGGTGCTCTTATTCCAAATCCTTCAGATACTAAGGAGGGTAGTATGAAATTTTATGCCAATAATTTGACAAGAAATATTATAGAAACAAAATTTTCAAAAGGTACAGCTAGAAAAATTACATGAAGAAAATTACAGGACCATTTGATTTAACTAGTAAATTTTCTTAAGTATTTAAGAAGAAATATGACCAAAAAGCCATTTAAAAATTTTATCGTTGTATGTATCTCATAAATGTAGAAGAGTACTTACAGTTAATGTCATACAGTTTTCTCTTTAAGATCAGAAACAAGGTAAGAATTTCCACCCTGATTATTTTGATTTATCACTTAAAAAAATGACAGCCAGTGAATTAAAACAAGATAAATAAATAAAAGGCATCAGTTTAGGAAGGAAGATGTAACAATGTTTCTATTTGTCTATGATTTCATTGTTTATGTAGCGAATCCTAGGGAATCTATTAATATGAAATAACTATGGGAATTAGCTAGCACATGCTTTTAGGAAGATTTCAGGATACAAGTTTAAAACACAAGATCAAATGCATTTTTTATGTACAAGTAGCAACAGTTTGAAAATAAAAATTTAAATATGCAGTTTACAATACCAATAAATAAATTAGGAAGAAAATTCACAAAAAGCATGCAAGATCTTTGCAATGGAAGCAGCAAAACCTTCCTGAGACACACTAAAGAATATCTAAATTAAAAGATGTAGTACTTTTATAGATTGGATAACTCAATATTGTGAAGATGTGAAAGTTTACATGCAAATGCAAAATACCTAGACTATCTGAAGTAATCTTAAAAACAAAAACAAAGATTTGCACTGTCAGACTTTGGGACTTCCTAAACAGCTAAGTAATCAACACTATGTAATACTGGTTATGAGGTTCGGCTCTGTGTCCCCACCCAAATCTCATGTCAAACTGTAATCCCCATGTGTCAGGGGAGGGGCCTGATGGGAGGTGATTGAATCATGGGGGCCGACTTCCCCCTTGCTCTTCTCATGATAGAGTTCTCATGAGATCTGGGTGAAAGTGTGTAACACTTCCCCCTTCACTCTCTCTCCTGTTCTGACATATGAAGACATACTTGCTTCCCCTTCACCTTTCACCATGATTGTAACTTTCCTGAGGCCTCCTAATCATGCTTCCTGTATAGCCTGCAGAACTGTAAGCCAATGAAGCCTGTTTTCTTCATAAATTACCCAGTCTCAGGTAGTTCCTTACAGCAATATGAGAAAGCACTAATACACTGGTATAAATTTTAACAAATATATCAATGATACAGAAGAGAAAATTCAAAAATAGAATCTCTCTGTAATTTGACTTTTTGACAAAAATGCCAAAGTATTAGAATGGAGAAAAACGTCTATTCAACAATTGTCCTAGAGCAACTGTATCTGTAAGAAAATAAACCTCAATTCTCACTTCATATTATACAAAAGCTAATTAGTTAGACATGAACTTATAGATGTAAACATAAAAACTGAAACCATAACGCTATTAGAAGAATCCATTCTAGAATGTCTGCATGATTTGGGAGTAGTCGTTTTTTAGACAGGACACAGAAAGCAAACCCTTACATTAGATCTTACCAGATGTTGAAACTTTTCTCATCAAATTATTCCATTTAAAAATTAAATAGGCATATCAACAGAAATTAATGATATTTACTATATATAGACAGAGACTGAGATCAACAGAGAGATAGAAGTAATTTTTTCCCCCCTCTGTCAACTGAAAGAGCCCAGAAACAATGACACATCAGTTTCAACAAGCACCTCTAGTGCCCAGATCTTGCTTTCTACATATCATACATGATGAAAAGAAACTAGGGCTTCTTGGAGAAATGTCTTAGTCCAGTTTGAAGTTAGGGAAAGTGAGATTAGGAAACATTGTAGTACATGAACTAAATAAAAGTCCTTTAGCTCATGGTGGTGAAGAGAAAAAAGAACAGAGGGGAAAAAAAGATAAATTCATTTGCCACATTGGAGATAACTATTACATAAAGAAAGTTACCTGTGAATGAATTTTTCTTACCTTACTAACAAAATTTATGATTAATGGACAAAAATAAGACTTCACCTGCTGTCTTTTGAAGAAATTTGATAGTTTATTATCCTTTAAACTATAGAAGTTGGAGTTAGAAGATCACCTTTTACAACTCCCAATGAAATTTTTGCTTAGCCTAAGGGTCATTAATGGATGTTAAATCCATTAGTTGCCCAATGTAAGTCAAAAAACTTATTAAAAGGGGAAAAAATACATGTACCCTTCTGATGATTGCTCCCTGAACCAAGTGATCAACCTTTTTGTCAATAATTGTGGGGCAACCTAACATTGTGTACAGCCCAATAAGATGCAATCTGAAGTAGACAGCATTACCCAGGAAAGATGTTTGCCAGAAATAGTTAACCTGAATCTATTCAGTCTTTAAATCTAAACACCAGCCTACAGGGATTAAAGGAGATAAAGACACAGGTTCAGAGATACAGTAGACAATCAGAATATCTCAAATGTAGGGCATTTTATAAAACAACTACTCTAGTATCTTTTAAAAGTCAATGTCCTGAGGAACAACAACAAAAAAGATGGATAGGTAGGAAGATTATGGAGATTAAAAGAGCCAAAACTGATTAAGCTTTTTTTGTTTTTTTCTTTTGAGACAGAGTTTCGCTCTGTTGCCCAGGCTACAGTGAAGTGGCACAATCTTGGCTCACTGCAACCTCCGCCCTCCAGGTTCAAGTGATTCTCTTGCCTCAGTCTCTCGAGTAGCTGGGATTACAGTCGCCCACCACCACGCCTGGCTAATTTTTGTATTTTTAGCAGAGACGGGGTTTCACCATGTTGGCCAGGCTGGTCTCGAACTCCTGACGTCAGGTGATCCACCCGCCCTGGCCTCTCAAAGTGCTAGGATTACAGGTGTGAGCCACTGTGCCTGGCCCAAAACTGATATAACCTAAAGAGGCAAAAAAAATACATATCTTTATTTTAAAAAGTGAACATAAATACCTGTTAGGGACACTTTGGAATTTTGAATATGAACTGAATTTTAGATAATAAGAGTAATTTTTAAGTAATATTGCTAATCTTGGTATAATAATGAAGTTATGTTTATACAGAAAACTAAATTTTAAGTGATACATGCTGAAGTATTTAGGAGTGAATGTCTATTATGATTGTGCTGTGGTTTGAATGTTTTTTCCTCTCCACCATTTATGTTGAAACTTGATCTACATGAAGCAGTATTAAGAAGTGGAAACTGGCAGGGCGCGGTGGCTCACACCTGTAATCCCAGCACTTTGGGAGGCTGAGGCAGGCGGATCACTGTGCCACGAGACCAGCCTGGCCAACGTGGTGAAACCCCGTGTCTACTAAAAACACAAAAATTAGTCGGGCGTGGTGGCACGCGCCTATAGTCCCAGCTACTAGGAAGGCTGAGGCAGGAGAATCACTTGAACCTGGGAGGCGGAGGTTGCAGTGAGCCGACATCACGCCACTGCATTCCAGCTTGGTGACAGAGCGAGACTGCGTCTCAAAAAAAAAAAAAAAAAAAAAAAGTGGAAACTTTAGGAGGCGATTAGGCCATGACGGCTCCACTCTCATGGACAGGATTAGTGCCGTGGAAAAGGGTTGGAGGAACTAGCTAGGTCCCTTTGCCCTTCTGTCTTCCTCTGTGTGAGGATGCAACAAATAATGCCACATTGGAAGCAGACAGCAGCTCTTATCAGACACCAAATCTGTTGGTGCCTTGATCTTGGACTTCTCAGCCTTTAGAACTGTGAGAAAAGTATTTCTGTTCTTTATAAATTACCCAGTCTTTAACAGTTTGTTATGGAAGCACAAACTAAGACGGACTGTGACTTAATCTCAATGGTTCAGGAAAAAGGCATACATCTAAATTATAGCTAGGTAGATATATAAAAGAAATATGGCAAAATAACTGTAAAGTCTAGCTAGTGGGTATATGAATTTTTCTTAGTCTATCCTTTCAGCTTATCTGTATAATTAAAAGTTTTCATAATAAAATTTGGAGAATATTTTATTTTCATTTTATTTTATTTTATTTTATTCTTAGAAAGGGGCTCTCCCTCTTTTTGTTACTCAGACTGGTGTGCAGTGGTGCAATCATATCTCACTACAGCCTCAAACTCCTGGGCTCAAGTGATACTTCCTGATATGGTTCGGATGTATGTTCCCTCCACATCTCATGTGGAAATGCGACCTCCAGTGTTGGAGATGGGCCTAGTGGGACGTGTTTGGGTCATGGGTGCTGATCCTTCATAAATGACTTGGTGCCCATCCTATGGTAACGAGTGAGTTCTAGCTCTGTTAGTTCACTTGAGAGCTGGTTGTTTAAAGGAATGTGGCAGTTCCTCCTCTCCGTCTTGCTCTGTCTCTTGCTATGTGACACGCTGGCTCCTCCTTTGCCTTCTGGTACAATTCAAAGCTTCCTGAGGCCTCACCAGAAGCAGATGTTGATGCCATGCTTCTTGTACAGTCCACAGAACCGTGCGTCAAATAAAACTCTTTTCTTTATAAATTACCCAATTGCAGGTATTCCTTCAGAGCAAAGCCAAATTAATTAACAGCCACCCACCTCAGCCCCCCTAGTAGCTGGGACTACAGGCATGTACTACCGTGCCCAGCTATGGAGAAATTTTTGAAGGATTCAGTGTAATTATTTTAATTCTTTTGTACCAATATCAATCATTTTTAAAGCATTAACCCCCTTCCTCATATAGTAACTGTCTGGGGGCAACCCAAACCTGGATTGTACCAACAATTTCCCATGGAGTAGTGTTATATCTTAAAATTATAGATGTTGAGTAAATTGTATACTCTAGAATTGGCTTTTTTTGTTGTAAAGAATTTGCAAGACCTGCACAGAAAAGAATGTCTCGAGACCTGAATAGGAAGAGGACAACTTGCAGAAGTGGAAAGAATGTGGGCTTGGGAGACAGAACTGGACTAAAATTTTTGTTCTGCCACTTTTTTTTAGCAGATCAAGCTTCTGTGACCTTTTATTCCCTATCTGCAAAATTAATATGACAATGTGTAACCCAAAAATCAGTTGTGAGAATGAAATATGGATGTAAACAATATCTTATAGAGACTGTCATATTACATAATAGCATAACAAATGATATCAGTAAAAAAACTTTAAGATACATCACTAGAATAGAAGATAGTTAATATAAAACAGGCTGTGTCATTAGTAATAGAAATGATTTATATTTACAGCTCAGAGTCTCTGTGATGAATGGATGCAGTGTGGAAAAAAGACAATCACAGCCATTTCTCTGATGAAGAGCAATGAAACTCCAGCAATCATGGCCTGCTAATTTAAGCTATTAGGGAAACAGCAGGGAGCAAGAATTTGTTCAGTGTAAGGAAATGTAATATTTATCAGTGCTCATTAGACTGTGCTCATAGTTTTGCTCCTGCTGAAGATGGTCACTGCATTAAAAATTCAAGTAAAGTACAAAAGCAAATATATTTTATAGCTAGATTGAAGGATTAATTAGTATCTAAATATTCAAAGGGGCTTCTTCTTAAATTAAGTAGGGTAGCTGATTTTGCTGGGGATTCCATGTGGAAGTGGAATAAACAATATCCAAAAAATTGTAGCTGAAGAAAACCTAAAGGAAATAGGGTACAATAGGTCAATTTTCCTCTTGGTCTCTGTATTTTCCACCTATAAAATGGACAGGTTGAATTAGGTTTTGTTTAAAAAGCTGTAGGGTTCTAGTATTCCCGAGATCTATAAGACTACTTGCATTATCTAATACTTACTTCATTATAATTATTATCGTATCTGACCATACTTATCTCTTGTCATTCTCATTGGGCAGCTACTTCTTTCTCACCCTTTTTTTCTTCTGAAACATTGTGCTTGATATGGAAAGCAATGCTCCTAAAACACAGTAAATGCAACTTTCACTTTCCTAAAGTTCATGGAAGTCCAATACTACCGTTGGATACAATTTTAAAAATCATACTTTTAAAAGCATTAGAGAGGGCCGGGGGCGGTGGCTCATGCCTGTAATCCCAGCACTTTGGGAGGCCGAGGCGGGCGAATCATGAGGTCAGGAGATTGAGACCACCCTGGCTAACACGGTGAAACCCCGTCTCTACTAAAAATACAAAAAAATTAACCAGGTGTGGTGGCAGGCGCCTGTAGTCCCAGCTACTCAGGAGGCTGAGGCAGGAGAATGGCGTGAACCCGGGAAGCAGAGGTTGCAGTGAGGGGAGATCGCACCACTGCCCTCCAGCCTGGGCGACAGAGCGAGACTCCGTCTCAAAAAAAAAAAAAAAAAAAGCATTAGAGAGCCATAGAAGCAAGGAGGACTAAAATCCTAAAATCCTAAAGAGAGGATTTTTCTTCTTGGGGATATTTGCTGATTATGGGTATGAACAGAATGAAGATCAGACTAATCCTAGGCAAAGAATCTTTGTTGATCCTTGTGGGTGTTCTGGAAAGGAAACCAACAAAATTCTACTGAGTACATGGTGATTGAATAAATTAAAAATGTCAGTGGTCTCAAATTCATAACCAGTTTCCTCCATAGGCAATTAGCTGAGTTTGGGCTGTGCAGAAGTCCGAGAAACTAGGCTGTATATTTATTAAAAGCTTCTACAAGACAAAGTGAAAGCTTGTGCTTCCCCACAGTGCTTACAAAACAGGTCCACTAGAGAGAAGGAGTCTGTCTCAAGCATATTGCCTGTCTTTCCCTTATTTGATTTTGAAGCTTTATTTGGCAGAAATGATGACCAGAAAGAGATGAGCTAGGAACTTCTGAAGAAAGAAAAAAACTTTTCCCACAGGCTTTTAGGACTGAAGAGACACATACTAGTCAAGCTCTCAAATAAAATCACAGGAGGGCTAATTCCTAAACAAAATCAAAACTGAGATAAACTGAGTCTTTGTGAAACTGCAGTGTATACCCAAACCAGCTTAGTTCCTGATTGAATTGAGATCATCAGCTTCTCACCATATCTGCTAAATAGAGAAAAAAGAAAAGTCTCTCTGGGGGTAGATGACATCGTCAGCAGCTTCAAATTATTCCAGAGTCTCACTCTTGTCGCCTCAGCTGGAGTGCAATGGTGCCATCTCAGCTCACAGCAACCTCCACCTCGAGGGTTCAAGCTATTCTCCTGCCTCAGCCTCCTGAGTAGTTGGAATACAAGTGCTGCCACCAGGCATGTATTTTTGTATTTTTAGTAGAGATGGAGTTTTACCATGTTGGCCAGGCTGGTCTCAAACTCTTGACCTCAGGTGATCCACCCACCTTGGCCCCCGAAAGTGCTGGGATTAAAGGCATGAGCCACTGAGCCTAGCCAAACTATTTTTTCTAAAGTAGCTCTGGCCTACAATAAAAAATTAACAGACATTCAAAACAGCTAGTAAATGTGTTTGTTAACAGAAAAATATAAATACTAGAAGCATATCCACTGGTGGTTCAGATACTAGAGTTTTTGTTTTGATTCATTTTAATAAATTTTCTAACTCCTCTTGTTATTTTATCCTTGACACATTGTTTTAGGAATGTGTTGTTTAATTTCCACATATTTGTATGACTTTCACAAGTTTACTTCTGTTGTTGATTTCTAATTCATTCCATTGGGGTCAAAGAACAAACTTTGTATGATTTCAGTCCTTTTAAATTTACTAAAACTTATTTTATGGCCTATATCATATGGTCCATCCCATAAATGTCCCATATACACTTTAGAGGAACGTGTATTCTGCAGCTGATGGGTGAACTATTCTACAGATGTCTGTTACATCTAGTTGGTTTATAGTGTTGTCTAAGTCTTCTCCTTTATGATAGTCTCTCTAGTTTTTCTAGCCAATACTGAATGGGGGGCTTTGAAGTTTCAAACTAGTATTGTTGAATTTTCTATTGCACCCTTCGATCTTTATGTTTTGGCTTCATGTATTTTAGGTATCTGTTGCCAAAGGCAGGCATATATACTTAAACTTGCCATTTCCTGTTAATAAATTGTGAACAGACCCACTAGAGAGACCCATATCATTATAAAATGTCTTTGTCTTTAGTAACAAATTTTGTCTTAAAATTTATTTTTCCTGTTATTATTATAGCCACTCCCACTCCTTGTTGGTCTCGCCTATATTTTTTTCTGCCTTTTGACTACCAAACTATTTGTGTCTTTGAATCTAAAGTCTATTTCTTATAGACAGCATATGGTTATGTTATTTTTATAAATTCTGCCAATCTCTGCCTTTTAATTGGAGTGTTTAATTTATATATAAATGTAATTACAGATAAAGTAGAATTTTATGTCTGCCACTTTGATATTTGTTTTATAGTTGTCTTGTATGTTTTCATTTCTCTATTCTTTGATTGCTGCCTTCTTTTGTGTTAAATATTTTCTTGTGTGACACTTGAATTCCCTTGTCATTACTTTTGCTAGTTTAAAATTTGTTCTCTTAGTGGTTGTTTAGGGTATTACAATTAATATCTTAATTTATTTTAGTTCAGATTAATATCACCTTAATTTAAATAACATACAAAAACTTTGCTGCTTCCCCCACTTTGCACTGGTATTGTCATGCAAATTATATATATGTCATGTACCCATCAACATAGATTTGTAATTATTGCTCCATGCAGTTGTCTTTTATATCAGAGAGGAGAGAAGAGTTAAAAACAAAAATATACATATTTATATTTTTTTGAATATTTATATGTTATTGCCCTTAGTGGTATTTTTTATTTTTTCATGTGAAACTGAATTATTGTCTCGTGCCTTTCAGTCTGCAGAACTCTTGCTATTATTTTCTTTAGGGTAGGTATACTAGTGACATAATTTCTCAGATTTTGTTTTTGTTTTGTTTGTTTGAAAACATCTTAACGTCTCCTTTATTTTGGAAGATGTTTTTGCTGAATATAGAATTCTATGTTGACTATCTTTTACTTTCAGCATTTTAAATATGTGATCCCACTGCCTTCTGGCCTCCATAGTTTAGATTAGAAATCAGTTGTTAATCTTTATTAAAGTTTCCTTTACATGATGAGTCACTTATTTCTTGCTACCTTCAATACTTTGCCTTTGGCTTTTGACAATTATGATGTGGCTAGTGTAGATCTTTTTTAGTTTATCCTGTTAAGATTTGGTTGAGTTTCTTAGATGTGTAGTATTTTTTTCATCAAATGTGGAGAATTTAGGTTAATTACTTCTTCAAAAATTCTTTCTGACCCTTTTCTTTCTCTCTTCTCTTCCTGGAACTCCCACATTGCATACGTTGGTATGCTTTAGGATGTCCTAGGTTTCTGAGGCACTGTTCTTTTTCTTCAGTCTTCTTTCTAGATGTTACTTATACTGGATAATCTCAATAAACTTGCCTTTATACATGCTAATTTCATCTTTTGACTGATCAAATGTACTTTTTAACCCCTGAGGTATATTTTGTTATTTTACTTTTCAACTTAGGTAGTTGCATTTGCTTCTTTTTAAAATAATTTATATCTCTGTATTACTGTATTGATATTCTGTACTCAGTGGGAGTGAGACATTGCTCTCTTACATCTCTTTAGTTTTTTAGATGTGGTTTCCTTTAGTTCTTGAAACATATTTAAAATACTTGATTTAAATTATTTGTCTGTTAGTCCAATGTCTGGGTTTGCTTGGAAATATTTTCTGTTAATGGTTTCTTTCCCTTTGTATGTACTATACTTTCTTATTTTATATACATTGAATTTTTTTGGTGAAAAACTAGGCATATAAAATAATATAATATGGTGACTTCTAAAATTAGACTCTCCAAACCTTCACAAGCTTATTGCTGTTTATTGACGTTTATTTATTTAGGAATTTTTCTAAACTAATTCTGTATAGGCTGTATTCTTTTTCTTTTGTGGTTCTTGAAGTCTCTGCTCAGTTATCTTGGTTGTCACATAATAAGTGGACAGAGATTCTTAAATGTCTGGAACCAATAAGACTCCTAGTTTCTGCTGAAGGCTTACTTTCAACACTCACCAGACAACTGAGAATTTAGTTTTAGCTTCGACTTCCTGTTTATACAGAGTGTCATGGTTAGTCTGATGTGATGATGTATGGACTTCTCAGTTCTTTTCTAAACATGTGCATAGCCTAGGGCATATACACAGCTCTAGGCATGCATCTTGCCTTCTCGATTCTCAGAGATATGTCAGACGTTTACAAAGACTCTAGGATTATTTCATTCCCTAGTTTTTCCTTTTAAGCTTTGTAGTTAGTCTATTGTTTTTATGCACTGTTTTTACTGCCTCTGGCAGCCATAAAGTTAAATGATAGCCTGTAATTGTTTTTGACAAACATTGCCAGGCACAAGGCTCTTGCACTTGTCGGGGGAGGGGGTTTGGGGTTGGGGATGCTTCAAGTAAGGCAAAATAAAGACATCCTTTCAGTGGGGATGACCCACCAGACAGGTCAAATAATGACAAAATGAAGCTTTCAAAAAGCTCCAAACCTGTTCTGGTCCTTCCAAGGGGCTACCAGCCTGCTAGTTTTCACTGCAATTATGAGCTGTTAGTTTTCAATGATACTGTGAAGCATGAAATTGGGGGACAGGAATAAGGTAAGACAAGGAGCTGATCTTAAGAGTACCATTTAAAAGATACATTAGTAACAAACTGCCAACAAGAAAATTAACATGTAACTTCTCAAAAAAAAATAATGAATGTAGCAAGATAATGGAAATGCCATCTTTAATATACTGAAAGAAAATCACAGCCAACCTTGAATTCTATTCTATAGCAACAAAAGTAATTTCAAAAATGAAGGTGAATTAAACCAAGAATCATACTAGCGAAAATAACTTCAAAATGAAGGTGAAATAAACATTTCTAAACAAAAAAGTGAATAAAAAGGACATTATAGAAATAACACACAAAGAAGTATAAAATTTCTTTTCTAATAGACACCATGAAGAACACTTACAAGGTACTATAGGTATACTGCATGAGTTTGGATCCAGTCTCTCAAATCAGGAAAGCCTTATCTGAGGAAGTAACTGAATAACAAGCAGAAATTTTTAAAGACTGAAATTAGGACAATACAAAAGGTTAAAAGAAGGTAAGCTGTCAGTGGCAGTTAATTGAGGATCTAGAGTCACAAATTGTTTAAATTTAGTTTTGTCTTTTATTAGGTAGTACTACATATTTATGTCAAATTTCATGAATTATGATGCTATTTATTATGAATGTTACAGAATTTATCACAAGTTTCAGGGGCAATGGTTTGACTTCCTTTACTGAAAGACTAATGGATAAGAATTCAACATTAGATACCTACTCATAGATTTTGAAAGGTTTTTCTCTACAAAATGAAATGCCCTATTCAAGAAGTAAAAATTGAAGCCTTTGCCAGTTGTTTACTCTTTATGAAAATGCAATTATTAGTGGCTTTTTAAAGACAAACAGAAGAGAGAGAACAGAGTATTTTTATGTTGGGTGTCTGCCTCAGGGTGTAATAAGTAAGGAAAACAGTAAATATCTGGCAGGATAAGGAGTCTGAAGACACCTTTTGTCAATATCCGTGTTTAGACTGGGTATAACATTTCCTCTTTCCCAAAAGTGGGAAGAATAGATGGAGACAGGAACTGGAAGGGGAGTGCATTTATTACTAAAGACTATTACATTAAAATTGCAAGCTGCACATTTTCCTTTTCAGAAGTGTTCAAGGGCTTATTATGAGCCACATTACCTTACATTTAGCTATGAAGTAGATGCTAATTTTCAAAAGCCTTTACACCTTAGCCCATTAGAATTAATTCAGGTGCCTCACGTATTGGCTTATAAAAAAGGTGTGAGGTGCTTGGATTAATAAATAATATTTTTAAAGGTGAGAGAGGCATGTTTTTATCATGTTAAATTAAAGCAGATGATAGCTATATAATAAAATAAGATGGATAAATTTAACAATTTTACTGAGGAAAATACATCAAAAAATGCCAATGAGATATCACTCTGACAAGAAAGGAGTAGTCTATACAAATGAACCAACTTCCTCCTTGATGTGAAGAAAAATAACAAAAAGGATAAGACAATTAGGAGATTAAGGAATAATGTTTCAGACTTAAGTAGCAAATGGATGATAATTTAGGCAACAGTAAGAAAATTATTTTGGAGAAGTGTTAATTATACTCACACTTGAAAGCTATATTGTAGAAAGGTGAGGGATCTGGATAAAAATCCCTAAAAGCCTGAAATCTTCACAGTTTAAACCTTAACTCTCCTCTTACCTCTGTCAGTTTCAGAATTAAAATACTTCATTAGTTATTAATAACACAGGATTCCTTTTCAGTTCAAAAGTACAAGTTGCCATATTTTCAAGAGAAGAAAAGTCACATGCACACACATACACATGATCCATAATCTATTAAGTTACTAAGCTACTGTATATATTTTACTACCAGCAAGTTTTCTTTCTGTCTATGTTTACTAAAACAAAGATTCTCTTCTCAGAGCCTAATGCTGATTTACTTCATTCAGCCCTGTGACAAAGTGTCCCAGTTAAAAGGGTAAATATCTGGCTTCCTGCTTCAATTTACCATTGCCAACCTCTTTCCTTTTGTTGGTGTTCTTCCACTGCCTGAAATCTGGAAACCTTCTTTTTCCTTTCAGAAACTATGAGAACATGGAAGAAAAAGATGTTGCTCGGTTTTACAAGGCTGGAAGTTAAAACTCTGGGCAATTTTCCACTGAGTCTTTCATGGTTTCACAGAGCTTTAAGAATCAGAGACCTAGACTATAAATTAGGGTTCAAACCTCTTTAACTTCTTCTAAATTGTTTTATAAATGTGTTACTCTGATGTTTAAAATCAAATTTTGTTAAAATACTAGGCATTTTGATATCAATTTATGACTATATAGAGTATTTCACTGAATAATCAGACTATGCATATTTTCCAGTTGTTCTAAATTATATCTTAACTGATATTTGGCTGAATTGCTCTTTTCTGGGGGGAGAAGATAAAGATATCTCATGAATATTGATAGGCAAATGTTAATTTAAAACAGCATGTGAACTACTAGGTTAAATTGAAAATAAAGTGCTTTAGTCTGAAATGCAGTATTATAGATTATAAATTTAGCTGTTTTGGTCCAATCAGTAAGGCAGATGTCAAATCCTGTCGTGAGTTTAACTGTTCAAATTTTTTCTTTTACCCTAGTGGTATTCAATAATACAAGTTTTAATTAAACATATCTAAAATTTAGAAGTGAAAAAGACCTTTTAGATAATCGAATTCAACATCATCATTTTTAGAATGAGAAACAAAGGCCTTCCATGGGTCAGAACTTCATCTTTTCCTAAGCATAGTTTACTTGTCAATTGAACAGTTTCTAGTATTGATGTTTATAAGATTTCCAATAGCTGATTTGCCTGCTTTGTTTCTGTATTTGACCACTTATTTTAATGGACTAATTTGTAGTCAATATTCAAAGAAATCAGGAATCAACCATTGCTCTATCCTCTAAAAGAGATCTTACAGAAAATGTTCACTGAGCTCAAATTATATTTTTTGGCTCCCAGATTTATCAGTTCCCACCAGCAAATGACAACTTCCCACTTCATTTAACCTGCCTCAAAATGGGCCAAAGTAGGAAAAAATTGTGTCTGAACAATACATGACTCCATAAACAACTAGATGCCTAGGGAAAGCCATGAATGAATAATTACTCTGTAAACGAAATTAACATAACTTTAAAAGAGAAAATTAAAAGAACAACATACAAGCTGAGCCAACACTTTTCAAGGGGGGAAAAATAATGATTTTTTTTTTCCCACTGCACCCAATTTTTTCTCTTGCCCTATTTGCTGGCAGCACGTTTAGACTTTGTCTTTTTTGTGTGTGTGCATTGCTTTATTTTCCTTTATTGTTAACAGTCTTATCCATTCTCCTAACAATAGCAATCTCAGGAGAACATTTTCTCTAATCCTACTCCCAACTGTTAGTTCCGTTTGTTTATCTACTTTCTTGACTCACAGCCCAAACCTTCTGTATCAGTTTTGTTCCCAACAAGGGGAGCAGGAAGAAGACCCGTATGGCATTTTTAGAGGCATGTGTTATTGTGGCAGTGAGGAATCTGCAACACTCCGCACAGATTGTCAGTTTGTCCTATGATGGGAGAGATGGTAGTTAGACACATAGAAAATTCATGACTTGCTTTCTAAAAACGCTTGTGCATTTTTTACAACCGTGATATCAGAAAATGAAAGTGAAAAGAGCCTGAGTAATAAGACTTAGGAGATAAGCATGGCATCTTCCCTCTTCCTATAAATTATAATCTCAAAGAGGAAAAGAGAATGAGTTTACAGCTTCATAATCCTTTTTTAATGTGTCTGTCTCTTAGATACCACAATATACAGGTTCACAATGCCTGCTCCAATACGCATATATCAACCTGCCCAGTTTCCTCATCTACAAAGAGCGGAAATCGAGTGAGATTAACGTGAAAAAAACCTTCCAGCTCCACCGTTCTGTGAGATGCCCTATTAAATCAATAAAATAGAATAAATGTCATCATTTGACTTTTTAAAAAAGAGCATAAAAATGGTTTTTGGTGTTTTTTGAACTGGAGCTATTAACTTGATTTCTGAAGAATTTCTTGATGTTAGTCATTTTAAAATGGAATTTACTTTAGTCAGTTGTAGTTTATTTTAAAGGAGAACTTCCTATATCTAATGTTTCCTTTTGTTTTGTTCAAAAAACATATGCCATCAGCCCTCCTTATTCATGAGTTCTGTATCCATTAATTCAACCAACTGGGGATTTAAAATATATATATTTTCATATTGTGTCTGTACTGAACATGTACACTTTTTGTGTCATTATTCCCTAAGGGATATAGTATATCAACTATTTGAAGAGTATTTACATTTTATTAGGTGTTATAAGAATCTAGAAAGGATTTAAAAGATAAAGAAGATGTACACAGGTTATATGCAAATACTACACTATTTTATGTACAGGACTTGGACATCTATGGATCTTGGTATCTGTGGGCACCCTGGAAACAATCCCCTTCAGAGTAAATGTTGGCACCATTTTTCCAAACAGTACGTGTTCATTTTGTGTCTCTGTCACATTTTGGTAGTTCTCACAGTATTTCAGACTTTTTCATTATTGTTTTGTTTGTTATGGTGATCTGTGATCAGTGATTTTTGAGGTTACTTAACTTAGTAAATGTTTTGGGGCACCACAAACTACACCCATAGAAGAGGGCAAACTTAATCGACAAATGTGTATGTATTCTGACTGCTCCACCAAATAGCTCTTCCCCTTCTCTCTCTGTCTCAGGCTTTTCTATTCCCCAAGACACAAAAATATTGAAATTAGGCCAATTAATAACTTTATGATGGTCTCCAAGTGTTCTAGTGAAAGGAAGGAGTCACACATCTCTAATTTTAAATCAAGAGCTAGAAATAATAAAGCTTAGTGGAAGGCATGACAAAAACTGAATTAGGCTGAAAGCTAGGCCTCTTGCACCAAATAGCCAAGTTGTGAATGCAAAGAAAAAGTTCCTGAAGGAAATTAAAATTGCTACTCCAGTGAACACATGAATGAAAAGAAAGCAAAACAGCTTCATTACTAATATGGAGAAGGGTTTAGTGGTCAAGATAGAAGATTAAACCTGCCACAACTTTCCTTTAAGTCAAAGCCTAATTCAGGGCAAGGCCCTCCCTTTCTTCAATTCTATGAAGGTTATGAGAGGTGAGGAAGTTGCAGAAGAAAAGTTTGCAGCTAGCAGAGGTTTGTTAATCGGTTTAAATAAAGAAGCTATCTCCATAACATAAAAATGCAAGGTAAGGCTGCAATTGCTGATGTAGAAGCTACACTAAGTTATCCTAAAGGTCTAGCTAAGATCATTGATGCAGCAAGTTATCCTCAAAGATCTTGCTAATATAATTGATGAAGGTGGCTACACTAAACAACAGATTTCAATGGAGATAAAAGCAGCCTTCTATTGAAAAATATGCCATCTACAACTTTCCTAGCTAAAGAGGAGAAGTCCATGCCTGGCTTCAAAGCTTCAAAGGACAGGCTGAGTCTCTTGTTAAAGGCTGATGCAGCTGGTGACTTTAAGATGAAGCCATTGCTCATTTATTGTTTCAAAAACTTTAGGGCTTTTATGAATTATGTTAAATTGACTGTGTCTTTGTTCTATAAATGGAACAACAAAGCCAGAAGAAAGCACATGTGTTTACAGCATGCTTTACTGAATATTTGAAGCCCAATGTTGAGATCTGCAGCTTAGAAAAAAAATGCTTTTAAAAAATATTACTTCTCATATGAGAAGATTTCTTTAAAAATATTACTTGTGAAATTCACCTATCCTCAGTTGAGAGCTCTGTTGGAGATGTACAAGGAAGTTAATGTTGCTTTCACGCCTGCTAACACCACATTCATTCTACAACCCATTGATCAAGGAATAATTTTAACCCTCAAGTCTTACTATTTAAGAAATACATTTGTAAGTCTATAGCTTCCATAGATAGTTATTCCTCTGATGGATCTGGCAAAGTCAACTGAAAATCTTCTGAAAATGATTCACCATTCAAGATGCCATTAAGAACATTTCTGATTCATGGGAAGACGCCACGATATCAACATTAACAGGAATTTGGGAGAAGTTGATTGCAACCTTATGCAAGTCTTTGAGGTATTCAAGATTTCAGTGGAAGCAGTAACTGCATATGTGGTAGAAACCGTAAGAGAATTAGAACTAGAAGTGGATCCTAAATATGTGACTGATTTGCTGCAATCTAATGATAAAACTGTAATGTGTGAGGAGTTGCTCATGAGTGAGCAAATAAAGTGCTTTCTTGAGATGAAATCTAGTGAAGAGTCTGTGAACATTGTTGAAGTGATAAGAGATTTAGAATATTATATAAACTTAGTTGATAAAGCAGCAGCAGCATTTGAGAGGATTGACTCCAATTTTGAAAGACGTTTTATTGTGAGTAAAAACACTATCAAACAGCATGGCACCCTACAAAGAAATCTTTCGTGAAAAGAAGAGTTGATTGATGTGCAAACTTCACCGTTGCCTTATTTTAAGAAATTGCCACAGATACATCAACCCTCAGCAGCCACCACCCTGATCAGTCAGCAGCCTTCAACATTGAGGCTAACTTCTTCACTAGCAAGATTATAACTTGCTGAAGGCTCAGATGATTGTAAGCACTTTTTAGCAATACATTTTTAATTAAGGTATGTACATTGTGTTTTTAGATATAATGCTATTGCGCACTTAGTAGACTACAGTCTAAACGTAACTTTTATATGCACTAAGAAATCAAAAAAATTTGTGGGATATTTGATTTATTGCAGTGGTCTGATACTGAGCTGGACTACCCATTCTACTAATTTTCATTTTTTATTAAATACTGAAATTTGAATTTTGTGCATATTCAAAGACATGTCTTACAAATGTTTTACACAGTGTCTGGCACATTGGATATGTTCAGTAAATCTGTTATTATTTCCATCATTGGTTCAAAGACCACTGTCTATTGTAAAGTTATAAGATCCCTCATTATTTTTTTTGCAAAGGTAACAACATTTTCTTTTCCAGGTGGATTAGACAAGAGTTTCTTGACATTTGCATAATAATGTTCCAGATTTTTCTGTTGCCTCAACTAGTAGGATTTACTGATTTATTTATTGGTTTATTTATTTATTCAGCATTGAACACATGCCTGGTAGGCTTCCAGGTGCTCAGGAAACCCATATTCAAAGTGAAAAACTTGTTCAATTAATCGTTAAAATAGAAAAAAAAAAAAAGACACTAGAAAGCCATAATGCCAAAATCACTTTATTTCAAAATGTAAGCGAAAAAAATTTCTTAAAAAATGCTTAATCATATAAAAACAAAAGACATAGAAAATAAAAATGATGCTGCTTTTGAAAAGGCAGTCAGGGAAGATCTCTTTGAGGCATTCTAAAAAGTATAGGACTTAATATTGGGATGTATATGAATCCCATAGGATCATCACAAAGATTACACAAAGTGATGCACATTGACTGTGGCAGAGAAATGGAGATAGCTAATCTGAAATCTATTTAAGTGTGAGCGGTGTGAAGTCTAAGTTGCTCCTATAATTATCCTTTTTCTCCTTCTCCTCCAAGAGTTAAGCAATCTATCATTCTGTAATTTTATTTCTTTAAAGCAGAACAACCTGGATGAACTTCCCGCTTTAATTTATAATATTTTGTCTTGCTCTTATTAGTTGATCGGTAGAATCTGTGGAATTTTGGCCTTTATCACATCTGCTGAAGATGACCAAGAACCCTCCAAAGCACTCTGGAAGTGTGAGAAACAAGCTAAAACCCATCAGTAATTTTACGAGGGGATAAATGTCACATAGTGTCTCAGATTCACGAGGATAAGATAGGAGTCTTCCAAGGTCAAAGTCCCCAAATAAGCACTGAAAATACCAGTGGCAAGCTGATGACTCTTCCTCCCCTCCATGCATTTGCTGTTACCCTGCTAGGAAGATGCAGGAACTAGAAGAGATAGGAATATGACAACGGAAAAAGAATCTCCTGTCATTTGCATTAAAATATTCAATAATTCTATTCTTGATCCGGGGCAATGTCCACAGAACTGTTTGATCAATAAAATGATCCAAGTTTTTGTTTTTGTTTTTTGAGAGGAGTCTCGCTCTCTCCCCCAGGCTGGAGTGCAGTGGCGCGATCTCGGCTCACTGCAAGCTCCGCCTCCCGGGTTCACGCCATTCTCCTGCCTCAGCCTCCCGAGTAGCTGTGATTACAGGCTCCTGCCACCACGCCTGGCTAATTTTTTGTATTTTTAGTAGAGACGGGGTTTCACCGTGTTAGCCAGGATGGTCTCGATCTCCTGACCTCGTGATCTGCCCGCCTCGGCCTCCCAAAGTGCTGGGATTACAGGCGTGAGCCACCACGCCCGGCCAAAATGATCCAAGTTTTAAAAAATATATTACTCAGAGCTCGAGAGTGTTCGTGTTAGTTGATCTACTGTTATTTATTTGCAGAGCACAGTTCAGAGCCTGACTCACAGAGGCTATTCATTAAATCACTGGTAATTTTAATAATCCAATAACGAAGAAATCATTATTTTAATGTTTATTTTGAACATTGAAAAAATATATTTATATACATATTAGTTTAAAGGGAGTTAAAAAGAAATGTATAATGAGTACCACTTCTTTGAAATTATTGTATGATTTTCTATACCTCAAATACTCTATAAATTTTTGGTACCTCAAAGTAAAAAAAAAAAAAAATCTAATGGTTTCACAAATTTTCTTGAATCATACCCTTGTAATATTTTCATTTTATAGGAGCACTTCTTTTGTTTCTGATATTTTATCAGAAGTGAAAGTACTTAATCCAAACGATACTGAATTTGGCCCTTCTTTTATAAGTTTCAACACACAGTACCAAAAGGGTGAGATGGTTATTGGCCTCAAATGACTGATTTCTACTTAACTAGGCATAAAGGAACAGAACTCCCGGGCAACTTGATGTAAAGTGTGTCATCCACAGGTCAACAGGCTGCAACCACCCAAACTCATTTGTTTAGACCTGATTAAGTCCAGCAGGGGGAGTACGAACATGATTTCAAAAGGATCAAATACGAGAGAAGCATCAGGAAAACCGGGTATAGTATGCTTTCATTTCTTCCCACAATAGGAAACTGTTGCCCTGTGCTGTCAAGTTCATGAACTTGCTAACAGCTTTTTATAGGAACAGTACGTTTTCTACATTTGATCTGAAAGAGACACATCTGAGGGTTCACCAGTGTCCACCTGCATCCTGAATTGTGGCAGCATGGAACTCTTCACTATCTGACATTTTAAAACTGGCCTTGGATACAATGCTTTGTGTGAGGTAAACCTACTGCGCTCCCAATACTTCCTTGAAAAGGTTGACAAGAAAACCCAAATGAGACCATGTTTCACTGTCTGGTTGTCATTGTATGGTAGAGTACAAGTTAAGTTTGTGGGGTAGCAGAGTCGGGAAAGAAGGAGAGGAAGCATGCAGTTAAAGCACTCATATCAATACGAAAAATTCTATTTTTCTTTGATAACAAGCTAATTTTTAACTTAATAACAAGGGGGAACTAATATTTTGATGAAAATATTATTTCTGCTTTAAATATTGAAGAGTTTGCTTCATGTGCTTTTACTGGTCTTCTCTTTTCTTCCATGGGTCTTTTAGACATTTTGGGGAAAAATGGGCTCAAGTAAATGGAGGAGAATTTATGTTGCCTCCCAAAGGAATGCAATATTTTAACCGTGCTCTTATATGTGGATTTTGGAATTCCAGACTTCTTTTTGCTGTGTCGAACTTTAGATCTTGCATATTTTCTGGCTTACTCTTTTAATCACTATAACACTTTTACCCAGTCTCATTTTCAAAATTCACTAGTTATGGATCTTGAACAATTTTTTAAATTTCTCTCAGCCGTTGTTCCCTCATCTATGAAATGAAAATATTAAAACCATCTACTTCAAGTGGTTGTTAAGAGAATGACGTTAGACAATGCAAGTCAAATCTATAATATGGTGGTTAACATACAAGTAATCATATATAGTACTTACCATATGTAGTAATCATGTGGTAAAATGTTATGTCAAGTAATAAGGAATCATGATATTCCCAGAAAACTCAAGTGTGGGTAAAAAAGCTACACAGGGTTTTCTATGAAGTTTGCTTTTTATTGTAACATATAAAGTTATATTTATATCTCTGTTTGAGACCAATGAGGTCCCCCACCCTATGTAAACTGATTAGGCTACCACTTAATCATGTCACAAGTAAACTCTATACACCCCACCCAAATTATTCCATTCAGAATGAACTGAGGGGCCTTGAAATGTTCACACTATGGATCATGGCCAAATACATGATTCAATTCTCTGTCTTTTCAGAAACCGCCACTTTTGAAAGGCCAGACAAAGTGACAGAAGTAATATGGAGGCAAGTCTTATTTCAGATTGCACTGACAGATAGATATAAAATATCTGTCCCAATAATTAATTCCTCAGCTGCTTCTACCACTTACTCTCCAGTAGATAATTCCACTAAATGTGTGCTGAGCGC
The DNA here is from genome assembly GCF_000001405.40 of Homo sapiens. Lineage (NCBI taxonomy): Eukaryota > Metazoa > Chordata > Mammalia > Primates > Hominidae > Homo > Homo sapiens. The sequence continues at coordinate 165,496,402 of NC_000005.10, read as the reverse complement.
ATAGGCTAGAGGCCCTTTGCTGCAATTTACAAACATTGGTTCCTGACTCCTTTTATGAAATTTTAAACAGTGAAAAGAGATAAACACCCTGATTATCTATGTGTCTGATAAATAAATGTCTCAACGAAATTTTACAGCTAAAAATGTTATTTGCTTAAGTGAGGTTTTTGTGTGTGTGTGCATGGAAAGGTCAGATATTTTTTTTTCTCCCATTGCTGTGAAATTGCTTCTGCTTTTTAGCAAATCTTCTAAGACGGCTATTCTCCTTGCAATGTTGACAAGGACACGAGAAGGATGTGGCCGGAGGAAATCAAATGAGCAGCATAAAATCCTGGCTGGAATTGCAGGCAGCCCACAGTTTGTGGGTTTTGAAAGTCTGTCAAAAAAGTTGCGTAATATGAAAGTGGAGACAAGACTTCTGAACAAAAACCAATAGCTGGATCTTTTGAACTGCCCATGTACAAAGTTCTAATGAAAATGTCTTTGAGGGGAGTTTTAATAGTGGACTTTGAGATCAGTTTCACCACTGGTCTGATAACAGCACAGAGCATTTGAAGTTTTCAAAGAATCCAAGCCCTCAAAAGTTTGGCTCAAACACTGAGGATGTAAATGCCTCAGAGGGGTCTGAGAAATAGCAACCCACTGCTGAAGAATATACAATGTATGTGTTTCCTGAACCATGTCAAATTTTAGCCACAGGATACAATTTACTTCAAGGGGGTTGATAGCTCTCTAAAAAGCTGTACTCCATGTTCAAACTAATAATTGATCAGGCACCAGATACCATGTGGTAAGGGCATAGAAACGACTAAAAATCAATCACCCAGGAGAGCTGATTAGAACACCCCCCCTTTTTTTTTCCTAAATGCATTTGAAGTAATCTTTTGACCATATGGGTGTTTATGTCATATTCACTGATATTGTTTTCCCTTCCCTCCTTTTTTTCTTTTTCTCCTTTTTTTTGTAATATGTATTTATTCATTTTGATTCAGGCTAGAAATTATTCATGACTAAAAATTATTGTGATAACGCCAATATACAGAGGTTTAAATCAGAGGTTAAAATTTTAGGTCACTTACTGTCTACTCTTTTGTTTTCTCATCTCCAGACCTTAAACACAAAAATACGCATTATTTATGGATAAAAAAGATGAAAATTTCTTAGTACATTAAGAAAAATTGATCAAATAAGTATATGCTAATGTTCATAAAACCTGGTGTCTCATACTGGCAATGTTTCCGTTTTCATTTCAATTGTTTTTGGAAAATGTATACGTTAAGCCATCCTTGAAAACACCCATCTACCCACCCATCAAAGGTAAGCAAAAATATTTTGTGGGGTGAGTGATGAAGAAAATTGATTTCTTTTTTATTATTTTATTATTCCCCACTGTAACTGCCAAATCTCCAGCCCCACACAGAACAGAGTAATATCTTAAAAATAAAATTATTGACTAGTCACTTAGAGGATTGTATCATTGATTTAAATTATTTTAAATGATAAGTAAATATCCTATAATTATTTTGCTCTTGATATAATCTGGGTAGGAACATTACTTGTTACCACTTCCAATTATTCACTCAAAATCACTATGGCTAAGTTTTGCTCCTTTTTTGCTGTTATTTCCTATCAGTAAAATTTCATGAGGCAAGTAGATTATTTTAAAGGCACAGAAGTTGAGTTGTCCCACACTGAGATTTAAACTCAGACTCTCTCACTCTAGAACCCAAACTCTTAGTCAACTGCTTGGTCATACTGCCTCTAAAGACCCCATAATCAACTGCTCAGACTCCAGCAAATACAGCACAGTTTGCATCACCAAACAGTTCTATGTTAGCACTCAGCAGCCATAAGTGAAGCTCTAAGTCTGAAGATTGGTTACTGTCTTAGACTGGGCTCCTGAGAAGTGGAGTCTGAAATGGGAACGCCTGTGCACAGATGTATTGAGAAGAGTGCTCTCTGAAACAACAGAAACCTCTGTGGAAGTGAGAAGGGCCAAAGGGGCGTGGAAAAAATCCAAGCAAACATGTAGGATCCACTAAAATCTAACCTTAGCCTGATCCCACAGGATGCTTTGGAGAATGAGAAACACTCCAGAGTTGTTGCATCTTGACATGAAGGGAACAGGCATTATCAGCTAAATATTGACAGTTGTCTACCCTGACAGAGGTGTGAAGAAGAGCATAAACTCCTCACACCTCTGTGTGAGGTGACTTCCTTCAGGCAAAGGCTATTTTCCAGAAAAAAAGTGCATCTGTGAGCCATTTAGCATCACTATACATAGTAGCTGGGGGATAGGTGTCCTATCCAGCAAAGAAGAACTTGTAGCAGTATCCACTACAGGTAGGAAGAGAGGGTAGGAGGTTGATTACAAGATGGCGTCATCGGCGTACTTGGTTTCCCAGTGGAATTACCATTAACCTGGAGGATGAGACCAACTTTTTCTCACTAATGCTGTCCTTCTTAGAATACTTCTTCATCTCCTTAAGGTTCAGGTATCTCATTAGTAAATCGGGGTGTGTGGACTAGATTATTTCTAAGGTGGATTGCAGTGTTTAAAATTATGATTATTCACTGTCCAAAATTTGCTTCCTAGAATATTTTTTCTCCCATAAATATTTTGTTAATCTGCACTTTCTATGTCTGAGATCTAATTATAAGTTTACTAAAGTAAGCATCAAGTTCACTGAAATGACAGGTATTTCCCTTTTAAACTATGGAAATTATCTGAACTTTTTGCACTACCTGGTATTCACATCTGTTTAGATTTTATGAAGTTACTGCAGACTCAACCAGTCTTGTCCACTTTAATATTTTTCCTAAAATGGGCCCCAAGTTATGTGTTTTCTAGATTCATAATTAGACTACCATCCCTTTTCCTACATTCAAGTGTGAAAACAAGAGTAATATTTGAATCATTATTTCTCCAACTTTTATCATAGCACATTTTTCTTCATGCATATACAGTTATCACCATCTCTTGGGTCCATGTTCTCATCCCATGATGTAAGTGCTATCTCCAGTTCCATTACTCTTCCCTCTCACCCATTTTACATACTGCTGCAAGATATCTTTGTATAGCTATACATTTTTATAGACTTCTGGTAATCCCTTCCATTAAAAATGGGAAACAAACATGAAAAAAGAAACCCACAAGCTCTTTTATTATACCTTGTCATCTAATGACCTTAAACAATGTTCAAATACAAAAATTCGCCAGGCATGGTGGAGCATGTCTATAGTCCCAGCTACTCCAGAGGCAGAGGCAGGAGAATCTCTTGAACCCAGGAGGTGGAAGTTGCGATGAACTGAGATTGTGCCACTGCACTCCAGCCTGGGCGACAGAGAGAGACTTCGTCTCAAAAAACAAACAAACAAACAAAAAATGTTCAAATCTATGTTTTCAGTTTTATCTATAAGAGGAAGTATGGTACAGGTTTAAAAGCACAGACTGTGCAGATAGACTAGGTGCAGATAGATAGGATGGGAATTACTGCTTTAACAGTAATTTCTGTGCGACCCAGAGGAAGTTACTTTACTTCTCTGTTTCATTTTCCTCAAGGATAAAAGGGAGATAATGAAAGTACCTAACACACTGGGATGTTCTGAGGACTAAAAGAGTTAACACATAAAATGTTTAGGTTGATGCTTGATACACAAGGGCTCAATAAAAGTAATTATTATTAATTATTAATGGTTATATCTGCTTCAAACAGGTCTATTTAATATTCTGGAGTATTTCTCATACTTTTCAAACATTCATTTTCTTGTGAATCCTTTTACAAACTCTTAATGAAGCACTTAACTTCTCCAATCTGGAGAGCGCCAATGTGGAGGTATACAGAACTGGAAAGAGACCCTGCCTCTGTGTAAGTTACAGTCTAGAGGGAAAGCAGATATTAATAAAGAATGCCACTGGCCGGGCGCGGTGGCTCACGCCTGTAATGCCAGCACTTTGGGAGGCCGAGGCGGGCAGATCATGAGGTCAGGAGATCGAGACCATCCTGGCGAACACGGTGAAACCCCGTCTTTACTAAAAACACAAAAAAATTAGCTGGGTGTGGTGGTGCATGCCTGTAGTGTCCCAGCTACTTGGGAGGCTGAGGCAGGAGAACTGTTTGAACCCGGGAGGCGAAGGTTGCAGTGAGCTGAGATCGCACCACTGCACTCCAGCCTGGGAGACAGAGTGAGACTCCATCTCAAAAAAAAAAAAGAATGCCAATAAAAGTCCACATGCTCACACTGTATTGTTCTTTCTCACTTGGGATGCCTTCCTTCTCATTTACTGTCTATTGATTGCTAAACTATTTTTCAAGGCCTAACTTTAACTCGAGGGATATACTAAAGCCTTCCTTGGAATGCATTGCTTGAGTCAAAATGAATTTTTTTGTACTGTTTATTGCTATAAAATTACGTTCTATTCTATTATAGAGTTACTTATTTATACACTACTTATCTCTTTAAACTTGAACCATCACATTCTCGAGGACAGAGACCAAGATATTATCCTTTGTCTCTCTTCAAATGCCTACCAATGTCTTGAATAGAAATTGCTAAAAGCATATTAATTGACTTGTGATTAATCTTTTAATCTGTAGATTGATCTTAAACAAAGATCTTAGCCTAATAGTCTGTTGCCATAAATATTTTCTAGCCTGTTTTGTAGAGATGACTAATATTCTTTAAAAAAATATTGAGACAGGGTCCTGCTCTGTCACCCACACTGGAATGTAGTGGCACAATCACCACTCACTGCAGCCTCAACCTCCCAAGTTCAAGCAATCCTCCCACCTCAGCACCCCAAGTAACTAGGACTAAATGTGCCACCATGCCCAGGTATTTGTTTTTTATTTTTTGTGGAGATGGAGTCTCACGCTATTGCCCGAGCTGGTGTCGAACGCCTGGGCTTAAGCAATCCTACCACCTCAGCCTCCCAAAATTCTGGGATTTACAGGAGTGAGCCTCCACCACCTGGCAGAGATGAGTAATATTCTTATTCATCAAAGAAAGGATGAGAGTGACCCAAATCTATTCCTGGAGGCATGTCAGACCATTGGCAAAAGAGGACTTCCAAAAGAAGAATCAGAGGGTACAAAGACCAAATTCCTGATTTCTCCAATGTAAGGAAATAGGAAACAAGAAGTCCTTGGTGTTGAAAGTAGAGCCTTAGACAGCAGGGAGCTGTTTCTTCAAGACGGAGAATAATTTGTTCAGCCTAGAGCTAGCCATGCAGACTGAAAATAGCTATGACAAAGGGCATCATTAACTTCATGTCTTGTAAAGCAAATACATTTCTTGGAACATCTATGATGCTTGCCTTAGAAGCAGATTTCTAGCCTGTCTCACTCAGTATCATACCTACTTCCTAGCACTCGCTGGTGATCCATGCTCTTATTTGGTTTGATCCCACTTGTTGGCCACCATGGCACATTAGTCCTAAAATTCCCCTCATTCCATCTTATCTAATAATCTATTTATCTAAAGCTCATTATTGTGAAAGTCTTGAATCCTCCCTGAACCATCTCAGTTCTATCCCAGCTGGGAATCTCCTGAGATGTATATTCATTATACGTGTAATTGTTATTGGGGTCCTACTTCAGCCAGACATTGTTCTAGGAAACTGGGATATAACCAAGAGCCAAAGAAACCGTGTCCCACAAGGACATAAAATTCAAAGAGAAAAAGGCCAAAATAAACACGTAAACCATTAAAGCTATATAATGGAGAAACAGAGACAAGAAAAGAGGATGCAGAAAGCAAATTGGATGGTAGTGGGGTAGGAGGAGTGATTGCTATTTCACGTGGAGTGGCAGAGAAGGCCTGCCTCAACACGGCAATTAAAAATCCAAGATCGGCACGGCGTGGTGGCTCACACCTGTAATCCCAGCACTTTGGGAGGCCGAGGCGGGCGGAGCATGAGGTCAGGAGATCGAGACCATCCTAGCTAACACGGTGAAACCCCGTCTCTACTAAAAATACAAAAAATTAGCTGGGCGTGGTGGCGGGCACCTGTAGTCCCAGCTATTCGGAAGGCTGAGGCAGGAGAATGGCGTGAACCCGGGAGGCAGAGCTTGCAGTGAGCCGAGATCGCGCCACTGCACTCCAGCCTGGGGGAGAGAGCGAGACTCCGTCTCAAAAAATAAATAAATAAATAAATAAATAAATAAATAAATAAATAAATAAATAAAATAAAATAAAATAAAATAAAATAAAATAAAATCCAAGATCTAGAATCATGTTTCTTGGATTTGAATCTCAGATCCCTCATTGGCTAGCCTTGTGACCTTGGAAAATCATTGTAATCTTTTTATAGTTTAGTTCCTCACTTGTAAAATGTGAATGTAAAACAACAACTACATAAAGTCACTGTAAGGATTAAATGAGATGATATATGCTGAACGCTTAGAAAACGGGCCTGGCATATATTAAGGACTCCATAAATGTTCATTATTTTTGTAATTGTTACTAAGTCACTTTCCATGGGAGAAGAGCCATATAAGCTAAATTATAATACATAGTGCAATCCTACCCCCATGGGAAGAACTAGAGAAATTAGTTCAAAGAGAAAGGAAATATAACTCTCATCATTAGAAACACTTCATTTTTTAAGTATCATACTTGCATTTGGGTTTCTCCATAAATGCTTGAAAAAGTTGTAAAGAAAGGCATTCCCATTTTCCATACTACTGGTACTGGGGAAAATCACAGTTATTCACAAATTCAGCCATCAGATTACTAGGCATCCTCAGTGACCTCTTGTGAGTTATCCCCTGCTCTCCAGACCACTAATGAATATTGAGGAGAACAGCCAAAAACCATAATTTTGACTTTAGTTAGTGCTTAGAGAGTATGACTTTGTTTTCATACCTTCTGTAAAGAAAGGAAAATCTAATTGACTGCTTCATTTTTCTATAATGCATTTGAGTCAATTCAGTATTAAGCAGGAAATAAAGAAGTCAAACAATTAATCATCACCTGCCTTCTGGCTAAATTTATAAAGTCCACTTTATTTCTTGGTGAATATTCACTTAGCTCTAATTGAATCAGTATGTAAATACCACAACAGGACCAAAGTCTTTGGAGAGATTTTTCCACCCCACCATTAAAATGTTTTCTGTTTTGACTTCAGTTAAAAAGTATAAAGCATGTCATGGTTTCCTACCACTGTAACAAATGTATAAGGCAGAAATATAAGTGATTTAAGAACAGTTGGAAATGAAATAAGTCTTTGTCATTCTCATTCCACTAATCTGTTTTGAAACACAAAATGCAAATCCACATGGGATGCTTAATATAAAACAATGAAAAATAAATGAAATGAATTTTTCATTATGTTTTTCAAACTAGCATAATGTAAAAGAAGCAAGTTTCTCTGCTGTACTAGAAACAAATCAAAAGACCACCAGAAAATTAAAATAAAACATAACAACACTAGGATTACGAAATTTTAAAAATGCAATTTAGAGTCAAAACGTCAATTATTTTTTTGACTGGAGTAAATAAACGTATTCTAGAAGGGCTAAGTCTACTTTTTTAGTATAAAGGAATTAGCAAACTCTATACACATAGGACATTTGACTGTTGATGTGATTTAATAGAGAAAGATAAGCAACAGTTATTCTACTCAGTCAGGAAGTATTGTGTAACACTCTGCTTTTATATCAATCAAACTAGCAATTCATGATGGTCTGGACATATCATACTTTGTCTCTAGATATACAGAAATCATTTTCATTATTAAATTATAATCTAGATAATATTTATTGACGCTAACAATAAATCATTTTATTCATAGAGGCTATGTCCTATATCTAACAAGATTTTTTAAAAACACCTTGCCAAAATTTCTCCCCACAGCAAAAAGCTCTCAGATCTGCTTCCACAGAAATTCTGATCCGGCCAGTAATCCATCAAAGATCAAAGCAATGGAATCCTACAAAAAAAGCTGATCCGTAGGGCTTGGACAGAGTAGAAGTATTCATGACATTTTAGGCTGAAAAGAGTCTTTGAGACCAATAGCCTTAGACTTTGAAGTTGCATGGCTTGTTGAAGTAAAACATCCACTTATTGCAGGAGGGGAGAGGGAGAGTAAGAAAGAGAAGAAAGACAAACATGTCTTTATAACTCCAAATTGGTGAGTTTCACCGGTGAGGGAAAAATTATCTCAATTTGGAGGAAAATCAACAGACTCGTTTTCCATTTAGATGTCTTCCTGTGAGCATCAGGGGTGAGCACCCTCTCTTCTTGCATCTTATACTACCAACATGGGGAGCTGGTCAAGCATTGTGTGAGAGAGTAACAAGTGGGCTGACAAAATTAATAGTTCAAGTATTAGCTTTTTTTTTTTTTTTTTGAGAGGGAATCTCACTCTGTTCCCCAGGCTGGATTGCAGTGGCACGATCTTGGCTTACTGCAACCTCTGCCTCCCAGGTTCAAGCAATTCTCAGCCTTCCAAGTAGCTGGGATTATAGGCTCCCGCCACCATGCCCGGCTAATTTTTGTATTTTCAGTAGAGACGGGGTTTCACCATGTTGGCCAGCCTGGTCTTGAACTCCTGACCTCAGGTGATATGCCTGCCTCAGCCTCCCAAAGTGCTGGGATTACAGGCATGAGCCACCATGCTATTCCCCCCTCAAGTATTAGTTTAACATATAGCATACTGCCATTTAGTGGATCCAAAATTATTGATTATTGTCAATTGAGTGTGGTCCAACCCCAAAGCTCAGAAGAAAGAATAGAGAAAAAAAAATATTTTTATGGGAATGTAAGACACTCTACTAAATGGGTACGGTGTGAGAGCCAGTGGAGTGGGACACTTCAGCTTTCTAGATATCTGTCACACATCACTTCATTTCACTGGCAGTAGTACATCCTGTTAAAAAGAATGAACAAATCAACAAATCATGATATGAAAAGATATCTAAGATGTGTTAGAGTAAACACATTGCCTACTTCTTATAAGTCTGTTTATTTGTCAATATACAGAAAAAACATGAGAAAATATACATGGGCTTTTTAGCAGTCATCAATAATGATTATCCCTGGGAGTGAAATTATGGAGGTCTTTACATGTCTACAAGTTATATTTCTAAAATGTCTAAATTCATTTTGTAATGTGAGTGTGTTGCTTTGGAATCCAAAAAACATCGATATTTTAAACTTAAAAACAGCACTTACAATAAATTATTGGCTTGCCAAGAACTAAATTTTTTAGAATACAGAGAAAATGACAAGCTGACTTCTATTCTGAGCAATATAGAACTAGTAGCAAAAACAAATGTAAGGAAAAGTTGCTTCTCCATCTCTCATTCCCTTTCAGCCTTATCTTCAATGTGTCTTAATTTATTATTTGCAGGATCTTTATCATACTATGTGATTCCTGTGACTCAATTTTAATTCCTACCTTACAAATGAGAGGAAAAAAAATGAAACCCAGAGTTATTTGTCATAGATCCCTGAACACAGAGATAGCAGAGAGCCCACCAAGAATTTGAATTCAAGTCTAGAACTCTACACACTAAAAATGTTTTCTTTTAGTCTAAATGACCAAATAAACATGTTGTCTAAAATTTATAAGATTTGAGTTAGGGAATCTGGGGCATAGCTCAATCTAGTTTTATAAAAATCAGAGGAAAAATAACCTATGGGGATAATGCATCATTTCAGATGGGGAAGCTACAGCACGAATTTTGAGAGACGTAAAAATAACATCACAGTACAATTAGGAGAGATCCTAACATAGAAGAAATCAGGAAAGCAGTAAAAAAGAACTCCACAACAGGATACAAAAGGATGGGAACCCACAGAAGTAAAGGGAAATGGATGACTGGATTGTAAAACTGGTAATAGGAAGATAAAAGATAAAAATGAATTAAGCTGGTGAAGAATGCTAAAAGTAACAATGGGCAATTTTGTAATACTCATGATAGAAACAACAACCCTGCAAAGAACTGATGCTTGATGAAGTGCAAATGGTATAATAAAGTCTAATACTATTTTTATTCAATATTATTTTTCAAGAAAATGATTGCTAGACTACAAAATGTGGAACAATAATCGAAGTCTAACTAAGTGAATAAATTATTTTTAAAAACGTATCTAAATGAGTTCAAGTCTTCAGATAGAGAGGAGTTGTATTCTAGGATCCTGATAAAACTTAGAAATGTGATTGTTGGCAGATATTCAATTTTTAAAATAATTTTATACAAGAAGATATTTTCTAAAACATGAAGAAGTTGGGATGAAATAAACTGTGGACCAGAGAGCTTGTAATTGATTTTGCAGAAATGTCAAAAAAAGCATGATATATGAGTGTTTAGAAAAGCAAAAATATGTATACATGTTGCCATGTTGGTGTGCTGCACCCATTAACTCATCATTTACATTAGGTATTTCTCCTAATGTTATCCCTTCCCACTCCCCCCACCCCACGACAGGTCCCAGTGTGTGATGTTCCCCACCCTATGTCCAAGTGTTCTCATTGTTCATTTCCCACCTATGAGTGAGAACATGCAGTGTTTGGTTTTTCTGTCCTTGCGATAGTTTGCTCAGAATGATGGTTTCCAGCTTCATCCATGTGTATACATATGTAACAAACCTGCACGTTGTGCACTTGTACCCTAGAACTTAAAGTATAATTAAAAAAAAAAGAAAAAATAGTTCCCAATATCAAAATGTTTGTACCAAGACTAGCTTATTGTATTTTTGATAATGGAACTAGACTGACAGAACATTACATAAACACAGAATAAAGTTGAGAAGGCACTTAATAACACAGTTAACTATATTCTTATAGGACATAATGGAGAAGCATGCTTTGATGATATAATTAGGTGGATTTACAACTACTAGTCCTAAATCTGTATCATGAGGTTCCTCATGAAAGATGATATGTGACAATCTGGAGAAAATTGTTTAGAGATATTGTGTGCAGCTCCACTTCTAAATTTGTATAAACTTATTCCTTTACACAACATTTTCTGAATGAGTTGCATAAGGACATTAATCCAATTGTGATTAGATTTTCATTTTTTCCTAATTCAGAAGACATGATCCATTAAGAGTTAAAATGGTGAGAATAGTAGAGGAAGTGTAATGATGAAATTTAATAAGTACATGCACTTCCTGCACTTTGATCGATTTAATAAGCAACTGTATTAGTAGACGCTTGGGGTAATTAAAAAAAGTAACCTGTATATATGTAGGAGATGTCTCTCTGTCTCTCTTTTTGTTTTTGCATGCCCCAAATATATTTACTCTTCATATAATAGCACAATGGTTTTCTTTCAGGGAACCACCTTACTCAACTCTCAGATCAATGTCTGGCTTTCAATGTTGGACCTCATTTTCTTGTTCCTGGGTGTGGGCATGTGATTCAGTTGTAGACAATGAGTAATCTGATCGTCTGTAGCCATACAGACTGGTTCAGATGTAGAAAAGTAGTACAAGATGGGTGAATCAATCTACGAGACATATGCTAGAAATATTGAAAAGGAGATTCTTTCTACTCGGGTTGCCCAGCTGTAGGAATATACACCTGGAGCTTCCGCCAGCCATCTTAACATATCTATGGGAACAACCTGTCTGAGAATCCAGCCTCTAAGATAAAGGAAAGCAGAGGCAGGAGCTGGAAAGACAGGGATTTCTAATGGCATTACTTGAAACTAGGATCTAGACCCGTCTAAAGTCAGAGACCGTTCTTGGAGTATTTTCAGTTATAAGTCGTGCATCCAAATGAAAGCAAAGACAAACGGGAAGAATATTAGATAGTGAATTCTATCATTCTGTGATGGATTTATCTAGATAAATTCTAAAATCTGTTTCCAACCTTAAATATAATTTTATTATTAAGATATATTATTATGCAATGCCTACTCAAACCCAGCTTCTGTATTTCTGAAGGAGAATTGTATTTGCTCCCCTGTAAAATTCTGATGGGGATCACAGTTCATTATTTTTCAAAAATTTTATTTTTAAAATTATTAAATTTCTACTTTGGGGCCACTGTGTATCAAGAACACCTTAATTCAAATCACATGCAAGAGGGAAATTACTGTAACTGATAAAACTATTACAAATGCTGCCAAAATAAATTCCAGATAGAGGAGTTTTAAAGGAAAATCTCAGTAAGATCCTGAACTACACATTTCCAACTTCCCTGCTTATAAAACAATAAACAAAGTGAAACAGAAATAAATGGAAAAAACAGGTGCAAAAATTAAATTGTTATTATGATTGCTAAAGAATGCTTTCAAATCAAGAAAAGGAAAAAGGCATGCAAAAAAGAGAAAACTCTCGTAACTAAAATAAATGGATCATGCATGGAAATTAGCTACAGAAAACAATAAAATTATCCATGAAATATATTAACATTTTAAACTACATAAAAATTAAAGTAATTCATATTATAATAATAATGAACCTATTTCGACCATGTAGTAAAGATTTTTACACTTTCATTTCTTTGTTCCTAACAATTATGTGAGTATCCGTTGGAAGAATACTTCTATAATTCAATTTGACAATAATATGAAAAGCCCAATATATGTTTCTGTTTTTGAGATGGAGTCTTGCTTTGTTGCCCAAGCTGGAGTGCAGTGACACGATCTCAGCTCACTGCAATCTCTACCTCCTGGGTTCAAGCAATTCCCCTGCCTCAGCCTCCCAAGTAGCTGGGATTACAGGTGCTCACCACCATGCCCAGCTAATTTTTGTATTTTTAGTAGAGACGGAGTTTCACCATGTTGGTCAGGCTGGTCTCTAACTCCTGACCTCAAGTGATTTGCCCGCCTCGGCCTCCCAAAGTGTTGGAATTACAGTCGTGAGCCACCACGCCCGGCCTGTTTGTATTTTTAACTCAGTGATTGTACTACTGAGATTTAACCTTGAAGAAAAATCAGCAGTATAAAAAGATGTTTGCGGAAGGAATGTTTATACTACTGAAATGCAAAGAAAACTAAATATCCAAAAAGAGAGAAATGATTTTAAATTAATTGTTTTTAATTATATAATCCAATACTGTGAACCTATAAAAGTAGTGACCTCAACAACCAAAGATAAATGCATATTATATTGTCAATTAAAAAACATAATACAACTTATCCATGTTTGATTTCAATTTTTAAGTTAAGCTATGCCTTGTAAATACTTGCAAATAAATACACAAAACATTTTGTGTTTGAGTGGATGTAGTTTCTTTTGTAACTATTGTTGAAGTAAATTATCACACATACAGAAAATACCCAATCCTAAGTGTGGAGCCTGATGAACTCCAAGTGCCACCTTTGCCCTCTTCCAGTTGCTGCTTCCTGAAAACAATGTAGTTACCGCTCTGACTTCTAACACCATGAATCATGTTTGCCTGTTTTTGAATTATCTGTATGAGTGGAATAGTGCCACATGTACTATTTGTGTCTGGCTTCTCCAGTGCTGTATTGTTCATGAAATGTATCCATGTTGGTGTGTGAGATTGTAATTCATGCATTTCATTGCTTTACGGTATTTCATTGTATGAATACACCACGATATATACCAGCTCTACTGTTAATGAACATTTGGGTAGTTGCAGCTTTATCTATTACAAATATAGCCACTATGAAATCCTTGATGTTCATATCTTCCAGTGCACATACTTATGCATGTCCATAGTTTATAGGCTTAGGAGTGGAGCTATAGGGTCATAAGGCATGGATATGATCAGCATTAGTAAAAAGTGCTAAAGAGTTTCAGTGTTTTTCACCAGTTTCTACTATCATGAGCAGGATTCTTGTTTTTCCACATCCTTGTCAAAACTTGCCATTCTTTATCTTTTATTTCAGCCATTCCAGCAGGCATGTTATAGTATTTTTTTGTAGTTTTAATTAGCACATTTTGATGATTAGTGAAATGGGATTATATGAGATTTTAATTTTCTTCTTGTATTTTTAAGAATTTATACAATGAACAAGTATAAACCCAATAATTACAAATAAAATCTTCTAAAGAAATGTGCATGTATTGCTTTGTTACCATATAATTTTCTTGAATTCAATTATTACTTGCATATTTTATCTTAGCAATTAAAATTGCAACTTCTAAAACAAAGATAATTTTTATTGTATTCCATAAATTTAGAAAAGAGTATTTGTAATTTGGAAATGTCAGTTAACAATATAATTTGTGTAAATTTCTTACTCGTAATGTGTAAGGCTTGATATCATTTAGTTTTCATGGAGGAAAGAGAAGGCTGAACTTTTTCTTTCCTAATGCAATTCAAATCATGGCTTTTTCTATATGCTAAAGAAATATATATTCCAATGCATTCCTTTTGAGGTATTTGCATGTTTACTATGGGCATATATGACCATATCAATTTTAAAAAATGGGCTTTAATGTGAATGTGTTCTAAACCATTACAAAATATATATACAAATTATTTATATGTTCATCAAGGATATCAAATACTTAAAACTTGTGTATCTATAATATAACCAACAGGTTTTTACTAAATATTTGCCTGGCATATACCTGAATATATATTTATTATATCCATAATTCCTGGGAAATGGCCAGCCACAATAGTTCTAAATGATCTACATTCCAACTTTTTTCAACAACAAGGATGTCTGCATGAATAGATCATGCATGGAATTATGAGAGAAAGCTGGCTCTTCTACTTTCCTGAATCATGAACATATTGGACTAGAAAGTTGCCATTGTTCAATGCTCTCCTTTGGGGTATAGAATGGTGGTTGCAGTGAAATATTTAGTTTTCATAGGTTGGAGGGGTGAGCGGGAGGAAAAAGCAATAGAAGTATTCAATTGCTTCATTGATATTTAACTATAAAACTTCTTAGTAGAAAGTAGGAAATCATTTTAGTATAGAAAAGCTGTTTCTGAGAAATACAGTGAAAGAAGTTCTACTCTCTGCAAAGGACACACTGAAATGTTAGCAAGTGTAAGCACATATTCACAAAGCTTAAATTAGTAGGTCTGTCACCTCTTAAGAACTACCTTTATCTTTCTTATTCCTAAAAGAAGATCCTCCAGCAGAGATATGTCCTCTTATCCTTTAGAATGGTACTTCGGAGACATTAGAAGATTTGGGGTGAAGGAGGTGGCGGATGGAAAGGGATATTTGCTTAAAGAAGGAAAGTATCACTGTGTAGAAGGATGTCTAATACATTATAAAGGAAATGAGAAGATTTGGAAACATTTCTTATATAAATCATAAGAACCTTTTCGAAACTAAATCTGATTTAAGAAGCTAAACTTGTTGTCATAAGTCGTTTTGAATGACATTATTAAATGTCGTAAACTGAAGATTAACTTTCCTTAGTATAAATTTGCTTGTATTTGAACAGTAAAGATTCTAAATAATCCCTCAAAGACTGGGTAGAAGTTGGCAGCTTGTATAAGCCTTTTTACCCTTCCTTAATGTGCAAGTAAACTGCAAAAGCCGTTATGTCTAAGAAAAGGGTAATCAAGAAAAATATCATTAAAGTGTATTTCAGATTAACTGTTACATGAAAGAGCATGCCTGATACCTTACACAAGGAACTGGATTTTGCTTTCCAATGCATGCCGATTGACTCAACGGTTAGAGCAGACTGAATTGTATTTTTGTAAGGCTCTTCAACAGGCAGCCAAATAAATAGCTTTTCCCCCGCTGCATGGTTTGCTGTTTGCTTAAGCAAAAATCCAATTTCTGGAGAGGACTCCACAAGGGCTAAATTCCCTGCCATTTACAAGTGTCCCATTAGAGTAGCTTTCTATATGGAAATAACATTCCAAGACAAGGAGAGAAACGTTAGGTCTGAGGTCTGCTGTTCCTGATGTGTTTTATTATTTCTTTTTCATTTGAAGAGTAGAGCTGTTTTCCCAGGAGAAAGAAGGAGAAAGAGAGAGTCATGTTTGAATACAAATGTCTCAAGAAACTGGAGCCTCTTTTAAAAGTGAAATCTCTCCTTTTTTTTTTTTTTTTTTTTGCTATGCATCAAGGACAAGGATAGAACTGACAGCTTCACACTCAGGCTGCCTCTCATTAAAAGGTTTTTTAAATTAAGAATTCAAAGGGAAAAACTCCAAGTGCAGTAGCATATATTAGAGATGGTGTGGTTTGGGTTTCATTACTGTTTCCTTTAGTATGTCTGGAGGATGCTTTTATTTGAAAACAGTCACGATTAGAATGAGACAACCTGTATGTCTAGCTTATAGGGTACCATATAAAGACCTGGTAGCTTTTCAATAGATTATTTTCCAGGAGGTAAGAAAAATAAATTTTAATGAAGGTTCGTACATTTTCAGGAATATTTTAACTAATAAGACTAGTATTGATGATGTGATCAGTCTTATGGCATGCTGATTTTTAAAAATCAGTTATTGAGGTTTAAAATCTCTGTAACACATTCAAATGTCTAATCTAATATTAGGTTGGTGCAAAAGTAATTTCAGTTTTGCCATTACTTTCATTGGAAAAAGGGCAATTACTTTTGCACCTACTGAATAGTTGCTCATTTTTTATTTATAGTTCTTGAAAATGAAGAGTCATACATCTTTACATTAACTAATTTTACTTACTTTTTCCATTTAAGGAAATGAACATAGATTTAACAATATAATACAATTATTCAAAGTGTTTACCTAAAAGTAAAAAACCAAATTCATGGAAAATGGTCTAGAAAATGTCATTGTATTACAATGTTAGCTTGCTTGAAACTAATAAATATATATTGACTTAGTTGTTATACATACTACAGAAACTAAAAGATAAATTGGTCTCTCCATAAAAGCTTCACTAAAAGAAAAGTTTAAAGTATCACCATGAGGACAAGGTAAGTCTGTTTATCAAATTTCCTTTTCATATAGCTCAAGGGTAGTTAAGCTTATTTATTCATGATCATTAGGGACCTACTCTATATTAAGTGTCATTAAAAACACATAAATCAAAAGTAAAATCCCAGAACCATATAGATTTTTTAAAACAGTGTAATCTAATCCAATAAAGAAATTGAAAGTTTTATTTTTTTCCCCTCCTGTTAGTCTTACATCATATTGGGAAATATCATAACATAGTAAGAGTTACCTCTACTGGGAGCCTTTATTCAGTGCAAAGAGAAGCATTCCCCTACTTCTTTGGTATGATTTCTTCTTGGAAAACAATGAGGACACGTAATCTAACACGACTAAGAGAACTTGACCATTACAGACTTCTAATACTTTGATTTTGTCAAAATCTGTATACAAATGTAATCAAAGCCAGATAATGAGTAAAACATGGTACACAGGAGAAACTAGTAGACTAAGGAAAAACTCCATGAAGTTGTGTCATTTGTCCTGTCCCTAAATGTTTTCATTTCCTAATTTATAAAAGCAAGGAAGCTTGACTGGGTTTTCTTTATGTTCATCTGACCTCCCAACTACGTGATCCCATGGGATTTAAAGGATTTATTTATTAATTCATTTGTTCCTTTTCTCATGCATTAAGCTGTTTTGGATTTTATCACCTTTTGCCTGGGCAACACGGTGAAACCCCACCTCTAATAAAATACAAAAAATTATCTGGGCATGGTGGCGTGCACCTATAGTCCCAGCTACTCGGGAGGCTGAGGCAGGAGAATTGCTTGAACCCAGGAGGTGGAGGTTGCGATCAGCCAAGATTGCACCACTGCCATCCAGCCTGGGCAACAGAGCGAGGCTCCGTTTCCAAAAAAAAAAAAAAAAAAGGAAAAAAATGAATTATATCACCTTTTCTGACTTACTCATAACATACAAACAAACCTGGCCTTCTTTTCAGTATCTCTTTCAACAAGATGTTAAGAGGACAGGAATTTGTCCAAGATAGGATTGCTTTCACATAATACAGAGGGGTTGTTCATGGCTAAAAAATATAACTCCATTTAAGGGGTTTATCTAGAGGGTGGGACTTAATTTTTTTATACAACCAAATGTTTGCTCAGATTTCCTTCACTTGCTGAGTTATAGTTATAGTTCATATGATGTACACATCATACAGGGAGTCACCTTGTGCTCTTAAATTACAGGGAGAGCTGAAGAATTATGTCAGCCAGAGGCCAAGATAATATTTTCAGGTGCTAAATGTGTTTATTTTTTAAAAGGACAAAACACTTCATTCAAATTAGATAAAAATGCTATTCAAAATTATTTGCAGGTGTCGGGAAAAGAAAAAAAAATAGAGCACCCTACACAGTCATATTATTTCCTGTCACTAGGACTTAGAATTTCATTTTTGAGAAGTGTCTCTTATCATTGGACAACTACTGAGCTAGAAGCCTATTTGTTGCTTGTTTGATGGGATTTTAAGATGAACCCATTAAACTACATTTGGTCCAGGCTATTCGATGTTAGAAGGGAAAAATTAAGAACACTTTATTATCTATTTGTTTCTTGTTTTGATTTAAATTCAAATTAAACAGTTTGTGAAGATAATATAATCTGCAATATGAGGCCTGTGATTAAATCATCCAAAGACTATTGTGTTTTTGGTTTCACTGAGAGCTGCCTTCACATTTGACCCACAACTCCCTTGGAATGAGAAACTTATAGGGCGGGCAATGGGAGGTTTGCACTGGAGCTGTCTCCTTGAGGCTGACAGCTAAAATGAGAAAGTAGCATCCTGTGGACATTTTCATTTGGCAACATTCTGCCTGTTGCAGAGATCCTGGAAGCATTTTGATTGTCTCGGGAGGCGAAGAGGATGCTGAACAAATCCAAGTTGGATTTTTGCTCTTCTCCTTCCAGTAAGGAGAAATGGAAAATTTCTTTCAAGCAAAGTATGCCAGAACCTCTAGATTGAACTGGGGGAAAAAAAATGTTTAAGGCATCTGTAAAAGCCAAATAAAAACAAACTTCATGTCCACTGTATGCAATATTCAGTTTATTATTTCCATCATTTTTTATTCTTTTAATTATATATTGTTGCCAGTAGCCTTAAAGCTATCTTTTCTTAATTATTTTAGAAATATTTAAGATTCCCTTGTGTACATCAATGATCTGTTAATGACTTAAAGTAGCTAATGGACTTTATATTAACAGATTTAAAAACTCTTAAATTCTATAGAATCAAATCAGAGTGTCATGAAAAAACTTCATAATCTTAAAACCCGTTAGAGATTATTGACATGAATTTTCTATGGCAAAATGTGCCATAGAAAATTTCAGCATATAAAACGAAATTAATAGTATTTCTCCTTCCAATGCATATGTAGGTATCTTTTCAATATAAGTACAAATTGATTCAAGAAATCCTGGGAAATTGAATTATGCAGATAACTGAAAATTCCCCTTATGGATATAGGCAATACTTTTGTGTGCCCGTTGAGTCTATGCCTCCTATACTTAAAACTGCTTATTCCCTACATCCTCTTCCCTGCAGAAGTAATTCTGACTCTGCAGCTCCTGCTGAGAGGCAGCAGAAGTCATTTCTCACCAGCCTTGGCCACAGCCCACTGGACTAAAGGTGGACACCTCATACAAACTGGACCATTCACTCTCTCTCTACCTAGGATTTAGAATTAGAATTCTAAGATTCTATGTAGCCATGAAAGTCTATGCTTCCCCAAAACTAGAACACTGAAGCAGAGAAAGCCACTGCATAGAGACTGAAATTAGCCTATTTCCATAGAAAAGGAGAGCCAGAAAACTGCATAGTATCCGAGAGACAAAGATTCCCTTGTTTCTGTTGTTCCAGTTCTTTGTTACTTCCTTTTTGGAGGAAGAACTATACTTCTTTACCTTTGATTGAGATGGCCTGTATTCTTCCGGTAAATTCTACTCTCTGTCCTTTCTTTTAAGCACAAGTTAATCTGATTGAGGTGTCTATTACTTGTAACCAAAAGAAACTCATCTAATACAGCAGGCCAGAGGAAAACAAATTAAAATCTACCCTCAGGAAAAGAGATAACAAGCCAAATAATTACCCCAAGTAAGATTCAAAACAGGAGTGGAAACTGGAAAATAAAATGCATTTCATTATTATACTGGGCTGTCAAGCCCAGTATTTTCTTAATTAAATAACGTTTGTTTTAAAAAGCTCAAAGGACATCCTGAGCTGAATCCAAGTTTATCCATATCACTTCTGATCTTTGCCTTCTAAGAAAATGATTTAGATTCTTACTTCTGACACTTTCACTTTGAATCAGATTTCTACTTTAATACTCATACTTTGAAAACTTTGAAGTAACTCAAAATAGATGTATTAAAAAGTAGTGTTCTGAGATAGCACATGTCATCATGGAGTTCTGGATTTTATGCTTAAGGCAGGAATAATAAATATAGAATTGCATTAATCTTGTTCAAAGAACTTTCTGCAGCATCTCCTTCTGACAATTATATTTTATACCAAAGTCAAATTTAAATCAAATTTTTAAAAATTAAGAAGCATAGGAGACTTAATTCCTTACAGATCTAGGAGCTATAATAATGGTCTTATTTTGGGGGGAAATTTTAATCTTTAAAATAAGAACTAAGGCAGAAATAATCTCAATTAATTATGTTTCAAACCATTTAGACAAGCATAAGATATAAAAACATATCTTAATTTATTAAGAAAAAGTATATGTTCTCATTAACTTAATGATGTGGCCAACTTTCTGTTAGTAGTACAATGTTAATTTTAAATTATAATCTTAGCAATGTGATTCATATACATATATATCACAGTTCATATATACATATATGACTATTTGTTAAGTTTTTGATAAAGTGCTAGCTTTAAATTAGTTCTCTTAAGAGTTTTCATAAATGTGCAGAAATTGCTTTGTGACTTATGTTAAGAATAAATTTTACCCACATGTAAATTTCTCTTATTTCTTTCCTAGCCTGTCAATGCGGTGAATATTTTAATAATATACTCATAAGTTGATATTTTAAGTGCCATTAAAGATTCAGATCAACACTTTGCCATGGACAAATCTACAAATGCACACGTGAAAGAGTGACTGTGCTATTGTGAGCTCATTTCTTTTTCTGCTCAGCCTCCCCCACCCTTTATCTTCACAAGCACAGTGATTCCATTTCCATATTAAACTTTGCACCATCTACCCAAAATTACTGGAGTTGAATGTAAGAATTCTATTTAATGTTTTATCATGTGATTAACTAAAATCTCTTAGACACATCTTTGGAATAAAACATTAAATATGACTATTAGTTATCTGCCTATTAATATTTTATTGAAACTGTGCAGATGGGGCAAAATGTGCCATAGAAAATTTCAGCGTATAAAATAAAATTAATAATAGTAGATGCTTATAAAGAGCATATTGTGTTCCAGGTAGTATGCACTATAGGTATTAACTAATTAATAGCCTGAAAAGTCTATGAGGTTTTGCACTATTTCAATTTTAAAGAAGAAGAAATTGTGTCACAACAAGAGTAAGTTGCATAGTCAGGGTGACAGACCACATGACAGAGATGAGATTTGACCCAGGCAATGTGGTTCCTGAATCCACTTTCAGTCTATCAGCTCACACAGGAGGATATACATATATGCTCCTTCTTCCTACTCATGATATCTCCTTTCAGCAATAGGGAGGCCTTTGGTTTGTAGCTGGTAATAGAAAGCCAAACACAAATTAGCTTAAACAATATAGTGGTCACTATAATGCACCACCCAGGCCCCCCGCAATCATAATTGAAGGCCATTGTTTCCCAATCACTAGGAATGCTTCCAACAGACAACCTCATCTGTCAGCTCCCTTTGGGATTGCCTTGGCTGATTAAGTTGCCATGGTCAAGATCACATCACCTTTCCGGACAGTCCACACCCAGTTGATGTAGGAATATAAATGCTCAGCCTCCTTGCCCTAGCTCAGGACTACTTTGGAAGAACATGCCTCTTTCAGAGTTCTTTGCGGTTTGTCTGAGGCCTTTGTTGAGAGTGCATCACTGCCCAGTTTCTTCCTCTATGGGATCCTGCCTCCTTTCCTTTACACAGGTGTTGATCCCATAAACATTCCCTGATAAATTTCTAGCAGGCTAACCTTGATCTCAAAGTTTGCTTCCCAGGGAACCTAACTTGCAACACACAATAAAAGCAAACTTTTTTGGCCCATACAACTGGAAGTCCACAGGCAAGCCTGTCTTCCAAACTCATTTATTTAAGAGGCTAGGACTTAATTTCCTTCTGTTTTATGATCTGCCTTTTAGGACCAGCTTTATGCAATGGCTGATTTCTTGCAATAGTGGAGAAATGGTTACAGCATTTTCAGTCATCACGTTTGTATATGATCCCATCCAGAAAGATATTCCAAATAAACTTCACTGTGATTGGACTCATCGCTTATAAGATAGGGTGTTGGAAAATATTTATTGACTTAAAAAAATGAATGTCCACCCCAGAAGCTTAAGGAAGAGTCACCATCAACTGGGTTATATTGAGAGAGGGGAGGATGGCAAAATGAAACTCTGAGCACTGTTAAAAAGGGAGGATGAGTGGGTGTTGAATGTTGGGCAGGTGATAAACAGCATCTATAGTTCTCCACAATGGGGACAAGAGAAAAAGAATAGGCCCCCCTTTTTTGTTTTCATTTTTCTCTATATTTTTCAAATGGGAAATATTCTCCTCATTTTTTTTCAGGTAACGCATGTTATCCATAGCTTAACATTTATTTCCAGCAGAATGCCTTCTCTCTCATTCCAAAGATAAGTTCTGAGGTTTCTCCACTATCTTCCCACAGGGTATGTGTTCACCCTATATATTTTATTTAATTATTTGTTTAATACTTATCTCTTCTAGAGAACAATGGATTCATTAATGGCAGATCTTGGATATTGTTCATTACTGTACCCTCCTACAAATAACACTGGGCCTGCCAAGAAAAGATATTCCATGTTTTGAAATGAATGCATACATTATTGAGTATCCTGGCTTTTCCTGGACATATTCCAAAAAGGCTGATAATGATGATGAAGGATCCATAATTATAAGATCTCTACTGATGAGTACATGTCCATGGAGGAAAAAATAATAAGATGCCGAGAGGAAGAAATCACACAACCATTCTATTGTGCCAGATGGTAACTTCCCAAAGAACCAAAAATGTAAGCACAGGTAACTGTTGACTATTGAGTATGTACACATAAAACGTTTATTCATAAATTAGTGAAGAGAGCCAGGTTCATTCATCCACATGCCTGGATTGCTGGTGGGAATTTAAAAAAGAACTATTTTGACGAAAGCATTTTACAGAAGACAATAAGGTTTGATTTTAGTCTTTAGGTTCTAAATGAGTTTGAGGTCATTATATAAATAGGAAACTCAAAGGAGTCTTTGCTTTTGGAGGATGGTTCATCATGAGTTTGTTTTTGAATATGGGAAACTGAATGCAATTTAGGTGGACAAATGTAGAAGGCAAGAACCCCCAGTTTGTAACAGTTGATGGTTCCATTTTAAGAAAAATGTGCTTTGTCTGAAGAATGTTAGTTAATTAAGAATTCTGTTTGTAATCAAAGACACCGGTCTTGGGATATCACACTTATACATCTAGTGCTTAGTCATTTCAATTTATTCCTGGAAGCCCTGCTGCCAAGTAAAAAAGTCATGACATGAAAAAATATTTTCATTAATTTTAATAAGGAAAAATATGGGCTGGGTGTTGTGGCTCAACCTGTAGTCCCGGCACCCTGGGAGGCTGAGGCAGGAGGATTGTTTGAGCCCAGGAGTTTGAGAGCAGCCTGGACAACATAGTGAAAACCCATCCTACAAAAAACACAAAAATTAGCCTGGTGTGGTGGTGTGTGCCTGTAGTCCCAGCTACTTGTGGGGCTGAGCCAGGAGGATCACTTGATCCTGGGAGGCAGAAGTCACAGTGAGCCAAGATTGTGCCACTGACTCCAGCCTGGATGACAAGAGAGAGACCCTGTCTCCAAAGAAAAAAAAAGAAAAGAAAAATATGATGTAGTATGATATAGTTCATCCTAACCCAAGATGTATAACTTTTACAGATAGAAAAGACAATAGCAAAAAAAAAAAGTTTATATGAGTCATAAGCAAGTATTTGAAAATGAATAAACACAAGAGTTGGTATATGACATTTAATAAAATAAATCTATATTTTACTCACCAAAGAAGAAAACGTGACTGGGTGACTGGCACAGAAGGTAGGTAAGGAAGTCATTCCCTGGAAAGTAAATTCATTCTTCATTTTGACACATTTTCTAAACAACTATTTAGACTTTACAGGCTCATTGTTATCTTGCACTCCACCTTTACTTTAATATAAACTTAAAGCACCTTTGTAGGTAAATAAAGACAAACACCAAAGCCCTTCAGAATAAGTGGGAAGAACAGATACAACCAACACAAATATTTAGAGAAGATGCTACCTCTTCAAACTTCTTTCTTGCAATACACAGAAAAAAGAAAACCATTTGGGGTTCATTCAAAATTGAACAGTGCACAGTGCAATTTTGTTCCATATGAACTGCTCTGGATAGAAACTATTGTGCCATGAAAATTGATGAGTGTTTCATTGCCTGAAATCATGTCAAAATATCATTTCTTATAGTATATTTAGTATGTTTAAGATAAAAAATTCATTATACTGAAAAAGGGGCCATTGTTTAACTTCTCAAGAGCCATTAAAGCAACAAAGTAGTTGTGCAAAATAAACCCCTACACGTTTGATTAATTATCTATATATCTTGTTATATTCTAATTTAATACATTAAGAAACTATATTGTCTAGTCACCATAAAGTGATTTTATTCCCTGTATATTTCTATTTTTGTGAAATAATCATCAATAACACACCTGGGTTTTTTAATCTTTTTTCTTTCTTTAATTTTAATTTTTCCATAAGTTATTGGGGTACAGGTGGTATTTGGTTACATGAGTAAGTTCTTTAGTGGTGATTTCTGAGATTTTGGTGCGCCCATCACCTGAGCAGTATACACTGCACCCTATTTGTAGTCTTTTATCCCTTGCCTCCCCTCCCACCCTTCCGCACAACTCCCCAAACTCAATTGTATCATTCTTATGCCTTTGATTCTCATAGCTTAGCTCCCACGTATCAGTGAGAACATACAATGTTTGGTTTTCCATTCCTGAGTTACTTCACTTTGAAAAATAGTCTCCAGTCTCATCCAGGTTGCTGCAAATGCTGTTAATTCATTCCTTTTTATGGCTGAGCAGTATTCCATTGTGTGTATATACATATATCAAAACTGTGATATATCACAGTATTCCATTGTGTGTATGTGTGTGTATGTGTGTGTGTGTGTGTGTGTGTATATATATATATATATATATATATATATATATATATATATATATCACAGTTTTCTTTATCCACTCTTTGATTAATGGGCATTTGGTATGGTTCCACGATTTTGCAATTGTGAATTGTGCTGCTATAAACATGCATGTGCAAGTATCTTTTCGTATAATGACTTATTTTCCTCTGGGTAGATACCCAGTAGTGGGATTGCTGGATTAAATGGTAGTTCTACTTTTAGCTGTTTAAGGAATCTCCACACTGTTTTCCCTACTGGCTGTACTAGTTAACATTCCCAACAGCAGTGTAGAAGTGTTTCCTGATCACCGCATCCATGTCAACATCTACTGTTTCTTGATTTTTTGATTATGGCCATTCTTGCAGGAGTAAAGTGGTATTGCATTGTGGTTTTCATTTGCATTTACCTGATCATTAGTGATGTTGAGCATTTTTTCATATGTTTTTTGGCCATTTGTATATCTTCTTTTGAGAACTGTCTATTCATGTCCTTAGCCTGCTTTATGATGGGATTTTTTTTTTGTTTTTTTTTTTTGCAGATTTGAGTTCATTGTAGATTCTAGATATTAGTCCTTTGTCAGATGTATAGATTGTGAAGATATTCTCCCACTCTGTGGGTTGTCTGTTTACTCTGATGACTGTTCCTTTTGCTGTGCAAAAGTTCTTTAGTTAAGTTCCAACCATTCATCTTTATTTTTATTGCATTTGCTTTTGGGTTCTTGGTCATGAAATCCTTGCCTAAGCCAATGTCTAAGAGGGTTTTTCCAATGTTATCTTCTAGAATTTTTATAGTTTCAGGTCTTAGCTTTGTGTCCTTAATCCATTTTGAGTTGATTTTTGTATAAGGTGAGAGATGAGGATCCAGTTTCATTCTCCTACATGTGGCTAGCCAATTATCCCATTTGTTGAATGGTGTGTCCTTTCCCAACTTTATGGTTTTTGTTTGCTTTGTTGAAGATAAGTTGGCTGTAAGTGTTTAGGTTTATTTCTGGGTTCTCTGTTCTGTTCCATTGGTCTATGTGCCTATTTTTATACCAGTACCATGCTGTTTTGGTGAATATGGCCTTATAGTGTAGTTTGAAATCAAGTAGTGTGATGCCTCCAGATTTGTTCTTTTTGCTTAGTCTTGCTTTGGCTATGCAGGCTCTTTTTTTTTGGTTCAGTATGGATTTTAGAATTGTTTGTTCTAATTCTGTGAAGACTGATGGTGGTATTTTGATGGGGATAGCATTGAATTTGTAGATTGCTTTTGGCAGCATGGTAATGTTCACAATATTGATGCTACCCATCCATGAGCATGGGATGTGTTTCCATTTGTTTGTATCATCTGTGATTTCTTCAGCAGTGTTCTGTAGTTTTACTTGTAGAGGTCTTTGTCTCCTTGGTTAGGTATATTCTTAAGTATTATTATTATTTTTGTAGCTATTTTAAAAGGGGTTGATTTCTTGATTTGATTCTCCACTTGGTTGCTCTTGTATAGAAGACCTACTGATTTGTGTACGTTAATCTTGTATCTGGAAATCTTCCTGAACTCTTTCATCAGTTCTAGGAGCTTTCTGGAGGAGTCTTTAGGATTTCCAAGGTAAACGATCATATCGTCAGCAAACAATGACAGTTTCACTTCCTCTTTACCGATGTGGATGTCCTTTATTTCTTTCTCTTGTCTGATTGCTCTGCCTAGGACTTCTGGTACTATGTTGAAGACGAAGAGGGGGCATCCTTGTCTTGTTCCAGTTCTCATAGTGAATGCTTTCAACTTTTCCCCATTCAGTATTATGTTGGCTGTGGGTTTGTCAGAGATAGATTTTATTACATTGAGGTATAGCCCTTCTATGTGGATTTTGCTCAGACTTTTAATCATAAATGGATGCTGGATTTTGTCAAATGCTTTTTCTGCATCTATGGAGATGATCATGTGTTTTTTGTTTTTAATTCCGTTTATGTGGTGTATCATATTTATTGACTTGTGGATGTTAAACCATCCCTGCATCCCTGGTATGATACCCACTTGATTATGGTGGATTATCTTTTTGATATGTTGTTGGGTTCAGTTAGCTAGTATTTCATTAAAAATTTCAGCATCTGTGTTCATCAAGGATATTGGTCTGCAGTTTTCTTTTTTAGTTATGGCCTTTCCTGGTTTAGGTAGTAGAGTGATGCAGGCTTCATAGCATGAATTAGGGAGGTTTCTCTCTTTCTCTGTGTTGTGGAATAGTGTCAAAAGGATTGGTACCAATTCTTCTTTGAACATCTAGTAGAATTCTGCTGTGAATCCTTCTGGTCCTGGACTTTCTTGTTGGAAATTTTTAAAATTTTAAATTACCATTTCAATCTTGTTGCTTGTTATTGGTATGTTCAGGGTATCTAATTCTTCTTGATTCAAGCTAGGAGGGTTGTATTTTTCCAGGAATTTATCCATCTCTACTAGGTTGTCTAGTTTATGCACATAAAGGTGTTCATAGTAATCTTAAATGGTTTTGTGTTTCAGTGCTGTCAGTTGTAATATCTCCTGTTTCATTTTTTAATGAGGTTGTTTGGATTTTCTCTCTTTTCTTGGTTAAACTTGCTAATGGCCTATGAATTTTATTTATCTTTTCAAATAACAAGCTTTTTGTTTCATTTATCTTTTGTTTTTTTTTTGTTTGTTTGTTTGTTTAAATTTCATTTAGTTGTGCGCTGATCTTGGTTATTTCCTTTCTTCTGCTGGGTTTGGTTTTGGTTTGTTCTTGTTTCTATAGTTCCTTGAGGTGTGACCTTAGATTGTCAGTTTGTGCTCTTTCATTCTTTTTGATGTAGGTGTTGAGGGCTATGAACTTTCTTCTTAGCCCCACCTTTGCTGTATCCCAGAGGTTTTGATGGGTTGTGTCATTATTGTTGTTGAGTTCGAAGAATTTTTTAATTTCCATCTTGATTTCATTTATGACTCAATGCTCATTCAGGAGCAGGTTACTTTATTTCCATGTATTTGCATGGTTTTCCTTTTGGAGTTGATTTCCAGTTTTATTCCACTGTGGTCTGAGAGTGCTTTATATAATTTCAATTTTCTTAAATTTATTGAGGCTCATTTTGTGGCCTATCTTATGGTCTATCTTGCAGAAAGTTCCATGCATTGTTGAATAGAATGTGTATTCTCTGGTTGTTGGATGAAATAGAGTTGATTTCCAGTTTTATTCCACTGTGGTCTGAGAGAGTGCTTGATATAATTTCAATTTTATTAAATTTATTGAGGCTCGTTTTGTGGCCTATAATGTGGTCTGCCTTGCAGAAAGTTCCATGCGCTGTTGAATAGAATGTGTATTCTCTGGTTGTTGGATGAAATGTCCTGTATACATCTGTTAAGTCCATTTGTTCCAATGTATAGCTTAAATCCATTGTTTCTTTGTTGACTTTCCATCTTGATGATCGGTTTAGCAGTATCAGTGGAGTACTGAAGTCCCTCACTATTATTGTGTTGCTGTCTATCTCATTTCTTAGGTCATTAGTAACTGTTTTATAAATTTGGGAGCTCCAGTGTTAGGTGCATGTATGTTTAGAATTGTGATATTTTCCTGTTGGACAAGGTCTTTTACCATTATATGGTGACCCTTTTTGTCGCTTTTAACTGTTGCTGCATTAAAGTTTGTTTTGTCTGCTATAAGAATAGCTACCCCTGCTTGCTTTTGGTGTCCATTTGCATGAAATGCCTTTTTCCACCCCTTTACTTTATGTGGGTTTTTATATCCTTATGTCAGTCCTTCTCCTGAAGGCAGCAGAGAATTGGTTGGTGAGTTCTTATTCATTCTGCAATTCTGTATTTTTTAAGTGGAGCATTTAGGCCATTTACATTCAATATTAGTATTGAGAGGTGAGGTACCCTTGCATTCATACTGCTATTTGTTACCTGTGTACCTTGTTTTCTTTGTTTGTTTTTCCTTTTAACTTGTATTTTTCTTTTATAGTTTCTATGTGATTTATGCTTTAAAGAGATTCTGTTTTGATGTGTTTCCAGGATTTGTTTCAAGATTTAGAGCTTCTTTTAGGAGTTGTTGTAGTGGTGGCTTGGTAGGGGTGAATTCTCTCAGCACTTGTTTGGCAGAAAAGGACTGCATCTTTCCTTCATATATGATGCTTAGTTTCACTGGATACAGAAACCTTTTTTTTTTTTTTTTTTTTTTTTTTTGAGATGGAGTCTCGCTCTGTCATCCAGGCTGGAGTGCAGGGGCACAATCTCTGCTCACTGCAACCTCTGCCTCCTGGGATCAAGTTATTCTCCTGCCTCAGCCTCCACATAGCTGGGATTATAGGTGCCCACCACCATGCCCAGCTAAGTTTTATATTTTTGGTACAGATGGGGTTTCACTGTGTTGGCCAGGCTGGTCTCAAACTTTTGACCTCGTGATCTGCCTGTCTCAGCCTTCCAAAGTGCTAGGATTACAAGTGTGAGCCACCGCACCCAGCCTGGATACAAAATCATTGACTGATAATTGTTTTGTTTGAGGAGGCTGAAGATAGGGCCCCAATCCCTTCTAGCTTGTAGGGTTTCTGCTGAGAAATCTAATGTCAATCTGATAGGTTTTCCTTATGGGTTACCTGGTGCTTTTGTCTCACAGCTCTAAAGATTCTTTCCTTCGTCTTGTCTTTAGATAACTTGATGACAACGTGCCTAGGTGATGATCTTTTTGTGATGAATTTCCCAGGTGTTCTTTGTGCTTCTTGTATTTGGATGTCTAAGTCTCTAGCAAGGCTGGGGAAGTTTTCCTCAGTTATTCCCCAAAATATGTTTTCCAAATTTTAGATTTCTCTTCTTCCTCAGGAACACTGATTATTCTTAGTTTTGGTCAAGTAACATAATCGCAGGTTTCTTGGAGGCTTTGTTCATATTTTCTTATTTTTTTTTTGTCTTTGTCGGATTGGGTTAACTTGAAGACCTTGTCTTCAAGCTCTGAATTTCTTTCTTCGATTTGTTAAAGCCTATTGCTGAGACTTTCCAGAGCATTTTGCATTTCCTTTTTTTTTCTTTTTGAGATGGAGTCTCGCACTGTCGCCCAGGCTGGAGTGCAATGACGCAATCTTGGCTCACTGCAACCTCTGCCTCCTAGGTTCAAGCAATTCTCCTACCTCAGCCTCCCGAGTAGCTGGGATTACAGGTGCCCGCCACCACGCCTGGCTAATTTTTTGTATTTTTAGTAGAGACGGGGTTTCACTATGTTGGTCAGGCTGGTCTCAAACTCCTGACCTCATGATCCACCTACCTCAGCCTCACAAAGTGCTCGGATTACAGGCGTGAGCCACCATGCCCGGCTGCATTTTGCATTCCTTTAAGTGTGTCCAATGTTTCCTGAATTTTTAATTTTTTTTTCTTTAAGCTATCTATTTTCTTGAATATTTCTCCCCTCACTTCTTGCATCATTTTTTGGATTTCCTTGCATTGGGCTTCACCCTTCTCTAGTGTCTCCCTGATTAGCTTAGTAACTAACCTCCTGAATTCTTTTTCAGGTAAATCAGGGATTTCTTCTTGGTTCGGATCCATTGCTAGTGAACTAGTGTGATTTTTGGGGGGTGCTAAAGAGCCTTGTTTTGTCATATTACTAGAGCTGGTTTTCTTATTCCTTCTCATTTGGGCAGCCTCTGTCAGAGGGAAGGCCTAGGGCTGAAGGCTATTTTTCAGATTCTTTTGTCCCACAGGGTGTTCCCTTGATGCAGTACTCTCCCCCTTTCCCTATGGATGTGGCTTCCTGTGAGCCGAGCTGCAGTGATTGTTATATCTCTTCTGGGTCTAGCCACCCAGCAAGTCTATCCAGCCCCAAGCTGGTACTGGGGGTTGTCTGCATAGAGTCCTGTGATGTGAACCATCTATAGGTCTCTCAGCCATGGATACCAGCACCTGTTCCAGTGGAGGTGGCAGGGGGTGAAATGGACTCTGTGAGTGTTCTTAGCTTTGGTGATTTAATGCACTAATTTTATGCTGGTTGGTCTCCTATCAGGAAGTGGCGCTTTCCAGAGAGCACCGGCTGTGGTAATATGAAGAGGAACTGGTGGTGGGCAGGGCCCTAGAAATCCCAAGATTATATGCCCTTTGTCTTCAGCTACCAGGGTGGATAGGGGAAGGCCCATGAGGTGGAGGCAGGGCTAGGCGTGTCTGAGCTCAGACTTTCCTTGGGTGGGTCTTGCTGTGGCTGCTGTGGGAGATGGGGATAAGGTTCCCAGGCCAATGGAGTTGTGTATCTAGGTGGATTATGACTGCCTCTGCTGAGTCATGCAGGTTGTCAGGGAAGTGGGGGAAACCTGGCAGTCATAGGCCTCACCCAGCTCCCACGTAAACTAAAGAGCCAGTCTCACTCCCACCATGCCCCCCGCTCCAACAGCTCGGAGTTTGTTTCCAGGCGGTAGGCAAGCCAGGCTTGAGAACTTGCCCCAGGCTACCCGCCTAGGTTCTTCCCCCACCTGTGAAGACTGCACACTGGATTCGTGCACTCCTCTGAGTTCTGGTAAGGAGGCTTCTCACCCAGTTCAAATTGCTACAAAGTTCAGCTAGAGATTTCCTCCTCTCCCTATGGCGTTTTTCTCTGCTCCTCTGGCCATCCTCCAGAAGGATCCCTGTGGTGCCAGGCAGGAATGGCCTGCTTGGGGACATAGAGAGCTTCCAGGGTTTTCCCGCTGCGTTCTCCACTCCTGTATTTCGCTCTGCTCTCTAGATTGAATCACCTCCAGGTAAGGTCGAAACTTCTTTCCCAAACGGAGCTTCAGCTTCCCCAGTGGGGATGTGTGTTCGGGAGAGGAGGATCTCTGTTTCCCACTTCCGCAGTTGGGGCATTCACAGTATTTGGGGTGTTTCCAGGGTTCTGCATGAGCAGTCCACTTCCTTCAGAGGGTCTGTGGTTCTTCCTGGGATTCCTGGTTCGTTCTTGCAGTTGACCTGGAGGTAAAATCCACGATGCGCTCCTCTGCACCGCTGCTCTGTCCATCCAAGTCAGATTGGCAATCTAGTCCTGCCTCCCGTTGGCCATGATGATCCAATCCATGCTCTTCGTTTTATGTATGGTAGTCACGCACTCATTCCCTTAGAATTTCATATTCAAACAAGATTCATTGCATGCCTACAATTTTCCAAGCATTGTATTAGATGTCGTATGCAAAATTATGGCAAGTGGTGTAAAAATATGTGGAGTAGTGTAATTCTAATCAGCTTTCCAAAGCCAGATTAAATCTCAGTTTTACTTCAAGCTCATATGACCATCTCTGTTCTCTTTCTGTAATTGTTTAACTTTTCAGTGCAAGTTTTTGAAAATAACATCAAGGCAAAAAAAGAGCAAAACATCATAGGTTTACAGCACAATTAATATTTTACAAAGTAAATAAAGCACCTAATAATTAATCCCCATATTATTGGAACTCCAGAAATGCCACAATGGCCCATGTGTAACTGTCCCTTAGAAAGATAACCAGCCTCCTGACTTCTCACACCATAGGCAGTTTAGAATAAGTGTAATCATACAGTTTATACAAGGAAGAAATATATGTCTTTCACTCAATTTATGTTTGTAAGAACATCATATTTTTACACATTGTAATAACTAAGTAATCACTATTGTACTGTATTCCATTAGAGTAATATAGAATTTATTTTTTCATGTTACTATGTGTAGTTACTATTTTCCAGCTTGGGTTAGTAAGAATACATCTGATATTACTATTCACATACAAGTTATGTATTTAATTTATGTACAATTCATGTAGAGATATGTTTTTGTTTCTTTTTGAAAAAAATATCTAAGAATGCAATGGCTGGGTCAATGGTGAGCATATATTTAAACTGATAGGAAAATGACTAAATGTTTGCCAAAGTGACTATACCATCTTCCATTTTGATTGGTTATATTATTGTAAATCTCCATTAGTTTCAGTTGTCCACATTCTCTCAAACACTTGGTGTGGTCAATCTTTTAATATAATCCACCCTAAAGGGTGTTTAATGCTATCTCCATGTGGTTTTAATTTGCATTTCTCTGATGATTAATGAAGTTGGGCACGCTATCATGTGCTTAGCTGCCATTTTTATATCTATCTTTTTAAAGTTTCTGTTCAAATATTTTGCACATGGAAAAAAAAACACACAGAGATGAGTTGCTTCTCTACTTACAATTAAATTGTAAGAGTTAGTCCTATATTCTAGACAGAAGTTTTTCACATATATGTTTCAATAATATTTTCTGCCAGTTCTGGCTTGCTTTTTAATTTTCTTAATTAATAAGAAATAATTTTAACTTCTGCCCCATACATCATCGTGAGGCAGAAATTAAGTTTATGTATTTTTTTAATCATCCATTGTTTATTTTTTCATAAGAAATACTGCCCCCCTAGTGTTTTGATTTAGAAGCTTTAGTGTTTAACTTTTATGTTTTTATATACAGCAGAGCAGTATACTTCCATTTGTCGCCATCCAGTTCTTCAGGATACTATTGACATATATGTTTATTTTACATAACGTTTTAAATCAAAAACGCTTGCCATTCGGACAGGTATAATTTTTAAAAATAAGCCTTTTTTCTTATCCACATATTTATGGTTTCCTGTGTTTTTTATCCTTTCAAGTAGACCTGCAGTTTCTTCTCATATCATTTTACTCAACTTGAGGAATGATGAAGAAGCTTAACAATTTCTTAATACTGTTGTCTTAAATTTTCTTACCTTTAGTTTATATGAAGTCTTTGTTTTACTGTATTTTTAAAGGCTATGGCCCATAGGTTGAGATTTCTATGTGGCTTTTTTCTCTTTGATCCTTTAAAATGGTCATTCCATTGCCTTCTGATTTATGATGTATCTAATAAGAAGTCAAATATTAGTATTTTAATTTTTCTCCTATATATAAAATCTTCCTTTTATTCTCTGTCTGCTTTTAATATTTCCTCATTGTCTTTGATTTTTGAAAATTTGACCAGAGTTAGATTTCCTTTTTAAAAAAAAACATTTATTATTTTTTAAAATTTCTGTGGGTACATAGTAGGTGTATATATCTATGGGGTGCATGAGATGTTTTGATGTAGGCATGCAATGTGAAATAAGCACATCATAGGGAATGGGAGAGCCCTCCCCCCAGGCATTTATTCTTTGAGTTCCAAACAATCCAGTTACATTCTTTAACTTATTTAAAATATACAATTAGGTTATTATTGACTATAGTTACACTACTGTGCTATCAAATAGTAGGTCTTATTTATTCTCTTTTTTTCATAGTATACAATATGCTTTTTGGGACTGTATTGTATATTTTACCAGATTTGGAAGATCCCTATTTTCTTTCTGCTTCTTCAATTACATACACAGTAGATAGCATAATTGTTTTTCCTATAATTCACAGATGCATACATCTATTTTCTAGTATTTTTCCTTTCTGTTCTTATGTATATTTCATGTCTTCTGATCTGTCTTTAAGCTTACTGAATTATTTCTTGTGCACTATCTAATCTTGACTGGCGCTGCACAGAAAAATTTTCATTTTAGATATTTTAATTCTTGGTTGTTGAATGGTTATTTGGTACTGTTTTGTATTTTTCATTTATCTGTTGAGCTTCTCCATTGGTCATTTATTTTGTATACTTTTTCATTATAACATTGAACATTTTAATAATAGCTGTTTTAAAGTTCTTGGCAGGTCATTCTAACATACACAGGATGTCTGAGACTATTTCCACTGACTACTTTTTCTCATAATGATGGTTCATCTTTTCTTTTGGGGGAGTGCAGTATAGTTATTATAGTGATAGTCTCAATCTTGTGGATACTATATTTTCAGAGTATAAATTATGTTTTATTTCTTTAACAGTTACTGAGTTGTACAGATTTATCCTGTTGAAGAGTGACTTTAAGCCTTTTTAGACTGAGTTTAAACTAGACTTACTGGTGAGGTTTGACCTTCCTATAGAATAGACTGAATCCTTGGTGAGTTTAGAAAGGCTTTTTTCCAGTCTCGATAGTCTGAAAACCAATGTCTTCCAGCAATGCATATTTATTTATTTGTTTATTATTTTCAGTTCACAGACCTTCAGTAGCTGTTCTCCGTCCTGTCTTGTAGTGTTTCACGTGCACATGAGTCACTGGCTAAAGACTTAAGTGTAACCTTATGCCAATTTTTAAGATTTTTTCTCTGAATGGATTTCTTGTCTCCACTATACTGTCCTACAGATTCTAACACCCTCAATGGCCCCAAATTTTGATTTCTATTTTCTCTAGTCGATGGGATCCTTGGTTTCTGTTTATTTGGAAACTTTCTCCACCTAAAAAGCAGCCATGAAAGTTGAATACGTCTTGTGCATTTCACACTTCTTAAGGATCTCCTTCATAAGCTGCCTATTATTCCATATCTGAGTATACTGTCTGCATAGATTTTGTCCAGGTTTACAGTGTTTATGCAGGTAAGACATTCCAATTGCTCCATCATAGTTAAAATTAAAATCTGTCCATATTAATATTTTTGGCATTGTTTCTGTCATGAGACATTTGACTTAATAGTTTCACCTCTTATTTGACTATTCCAGCTGCTCTTTAATACATTTCTCTTTTTGAAATAAAGCTCAGAGTTTTGCTTATGCCATATTAAATTCATATTGAAACGCACACTATAAGCCTTTCTAAATGCCTAAGATAAATCTAATAATTTTTGGCATGTGAGGAAAAGCAAATAGAAATTAAAATTATTTACATGCATTTTTCATTTAAAAAATTCCCTGAAAGTGAGAGACTATATTCTTTCCTAATTACTATTTGGCAATTGAAACAACTCAATGTCATACCATTTTAGAAAGAATAATACGTGAATGACAGGACTTTTAAGGGAACTACTGGTGGTCACTGTAAAATATCTTGAAATGTACAGCGTAAGTTTATCAAGTCAAATAAAAATCTGGTGGTGCATATGTCTTTATTGCCTGCCATGGTATATAGCAAAGTTCAAGAATCATTGATATTCATTGGCTGAGTGATGGAAATAAAGTCAAGAGCTCACACTACTGGAATACTATCAGTTTCTACAATAGAGGAATCATTCCTTATCCCATCTGTCAGAGCCTGCTCAGCAAGAATTTAGAGAATTTGAATGGAAGATGAAGTGAAAGTGACACAATGAATTCTGTGTATTATATAATACTCAGGTAATATGCCTTTATTTGGAAACGGGAGACTGAATCGAATCATAGGCTCAGCGTGGTGGCTCATGCCTGTAATTCCAGCATTTTGGGAGGCCAAGATGGCAGGATTGCTTGAGGCCAGGAGTTCAAAGCCAGCCTTGTCAACATAGTGAGACTGTTTCTACATAAGAAAAATGAAAAAGAAAAAACTAGCCAGGTATGATGGCATGAGCATGCAGTCCCAGCTATTCAGAATACTGAGGCAAAAGATCACTTGAGCCCAGGAGTTCCAGGCTGTAGTGAGCCATGATTGCGCCACTGCACTCCAGCCTAGGCAACAGAGCAAGACCTTGTCAAAGAAAAGAAAAAAAAAAAACCCAAACAAACAAACAAAAATCCCCAAACACAGACCCATGTACACGAGAGCTATAGAAAATATAAAAATAATGATAATATAGCCCAATTCCTTCTTTTAACAAAGGAGAAAAGCAGGATAAGAAAGACATCATAGCCTAAGAGGGACAGGAAGTTTGGTGTGAGATAGTTCTAATATATAATGTTAACTGCACTACTTACTAGCTATACTGAATCACACAAGTCCATTAATATCTCCAGGATTTAGTTTCCTCATTCCTAAAATGTGTGCTGCACTGTTAAACTTACAGACTTATTATGAAGAAGAACACTCAAGTACTTGGAATTCACTTGGAAAGAAGTCCAAACTTTAAAAAAATTATATTTTCTTTCTATTTTCTTTGCCCAAAGACACATCATAAGTAATTGGCAGTCAGCTTCACAATTCAGACCCAGTGTTCTTTTTATACACACACTGTACTCCACAATGGATCAAAATCTTTTGCTATTTAGCAACTCGCCAATAAAGGACACAGACAAGTGATACAGGTATACATATTTCTAATACGTATACGACAAAAATAGCATTATATAGTGAAATTGCAAAAATTTTGTCGCAAGAAAAATTTTGAGTACTTTTCAAAGGACCTACTTCTACGTTTACAAACAATTTTTCGTGTCTGATTAATGAGAAACTTTGGAAACAATTTAATCTATCCAAGGATGTGAATGTTAGTTTCTATTTTTCAAGCCTGATTACAGAAGAACTTCTAAAGCAGTTTAATCTGTTCAGGGATGCTAAACAAATATGTCAACATTCATTTTGCATTTATGTCTGTAGCAGTTAAAGGAAGAAATGTGGAAATACACAGAATTTCGTATTTTCTCTCCGTCTTTTCTTTTTTAAGAACTAAGAGACTCCAGTGCATTTTATTTTCTATAGAGGATTCAAACTCCTAACTGAAATAAATTCATTTCAGATTGAAGTTTTTAGTAGCTTTACCAAGCAGTTTATGGGTTGGCACTCTGCCACAAAGTGATCTATAACCTCATAGTTCACTATTATGCAAATACAAATTTGGCAAGAAGACATGTGTTCTATGATTTTTCTCTAAGGATAATCACAAATTTCAAATTTCAAATACAAAATTATGCTTGACATTTAATTTGAACATGGCTTACTTTTAAAAATAAATAATATAAAATCTGTCCTGTTGTACTTTGGTTGAGAAAGGGTTTTTCTTTTTGTGTATTTTCAGGTTTAGTGCTTTATATCTGCAGGACATATGACTCTCAGACACATATACTTACATGTGCCTGCTGGATATATACATAATTTTGAAGCTTCTCTTGAGAGAAACATAAGACATTGTTTCAATAGAAACAGAGCAGGTTAGAAAAATTATTCTCAGTCAGTAGAC